>NC_000005.10:118291625-118594655 GCF_000001405.40 Homo sapiens | reverse complement strand
CAGTTGGCTTGTGATATAGAAATTATTTTATATAAGCACATTACCTTTTTTGTTTCAAGTTAATAGATTTGTGTATTTAATTGCAAACTATTTTTAGCCCTATCATTAAATGGAGAGGGAGAGAATGCAAAACTGAAACAACAGAGGCATGTGGAAGCAGGATTTATGGAGGAAACGTGGGAAGAGGGTTGGACTGAAGTCCCAAAGTTTGGGTTTGAGTCCTGCTGTCCAGGATCCCATCTGCTGGGGCTGGCCCAAGAACATGTGGCGCCATGCCCTGTTCTTAACTCATTTTGTGAAGTTCTTGCATATCTCTTCTCTTTTCTCTGGTCAGGCCACATGTTGATCCTCTTCTCTTGATTGCTTGCCAGGCAGAGTCAAATCTGTATTTTGGTTTTATTCTTATTCTTTCTCAAGGATGCCAAATAGGAGAAGTAAACCAACATTTATTGCAAATCTTCCATTTGTCAGGGACTTGATTTATCGCTGATTCATCACTGAATCCTTGCAACAACCCTGAAAGTTGGGACTGATTATTTACATTATTTTAAATATTTTCATTTTTAAAAATTTTATGGGGGAGGAAACTGAACATAAGACATGTTTAGTAACTTGATGAAGACCACATGGTTAATATTGCAAACCTATATCTATCTGAATCCAAAATCCTATGATCTTCCCATTCCAGAGCATTGCCTCTCCTTGAGAATGTCCTGTCTCATGGGGTCTCCATTGCTTTGAATAGAGACTACCCACACTCATGTAGGCAGCTCTGGCTTTCTTTTTAGCCTTTTCAAAATAAGTGTGGGTCTCTTCATCTGTAGAGATCAGGACTCAACTTTTTATAGGTCAGAGAGGTACAATATCTGATGAAAGTTTTACATTCTCTCAGAAGTCATGTACACACACACATACACACACACACACACACAAACACACATGTTTGCATATTATGTAAGGTGATTCAGAGGCCTCCTGAGGTCTAACTCTGGACCTCTGTTAAAGACTGCTTAATCTGGAAGATTACTTTTCACTGGTTAGGGGCTGGGAAAATGTCCAGTTGTCTCCATCCTGGGCAGGCAAAGTAAGTCATTTTATAGCACCATATGAGGCATGGTGCATGCCTCATCCCAGCTGAAGTTTTTTCAAGATAGATGATTATGTGTCTGTGCCTGGTTCCTTTTGACTGGCCCCTGGAGGGCTTGGTGGAGCAATTAACTAAAAGATGGTCAGGAGAACTGGGTTTCTCATCTGTACCTTGCTTTCTTCACCTAAAATATTGACATGATTTCTGTTTTCTCTGCTTTTCAGGGTGAAGGTAAAATGAGAAAAGGGGATAAAGTACTTTGAAAGTAAATGTCAGTGAGTCCCTGAGGAAAACCTGGGCTTGGTCATTTTTACACAGCTGGCCATTTCAGGTCTTCTCCTTGGAATATCCTGTAGCTGTAGCTGATATTTCTCAAACTTTCTGAAGGGAGGGAACACTTGGTGTTTTCCACCTGAGGCTTAGCTGAGGATAAGCCCCCTGCTGGTGTACTTCTAAGCTGCTGAAGCCCTTCATTTTAAATGAACTTTGAGCCTGAAATTGGGCAGACTCTTCTATTTAGCATTTTAATCGAGAGCTGCTCAGTTCTGGTGGCAACATTATAGCTGGAAGGTTTGATTAATCTGAAAAATAATCTGATGCTTAAAGATTATGTTAGTCTTAGAGCACTATAAAGTAAACATCTGCCAAGTTTTACAATCCACCCAAGGAAACACGACACCTGTCCTTAAAATGGCTGACGTAGCAATTTTTTTTATTATTAATTTGAAGTTTGGGATGTGCTATGGTAGTCTCCCTGTTGTTCATTCAGGTAGAGACCCAACTCAATAGTCCTCAAGCCATAACATGGTCTTATGATAGGAAAGGCTCTGGTGTCTTCAACTGAGTGAGCAATTCTGATTCATTTTCTCGGTGTGATGCAAAAGATACTTGCAGCTTTACTGCTGTCTTTGCTGCCTGTTGGAGCCTTTTTTTTTGGGACTAATCATTTGACTTTGCGCTAATGAGATTAAACCCAGCAGGGGCAGATATTTTCTTTTTTAATTTTCATTTCTGTTATTTAATTGGCATTACATGCACATAATGGGACCAGAAAAAAAACACCCTGTAGCAATCTGTTCAATACAAATAACTCAGGCAGATGCAGCCAGATGTATCCATGGTGACCTCCTTGACTGTGTCACTACACACACATTAGGGAAGGCGGCCCAGTATGCTTAACTCCCTGTTTGCTGAATGTGTCAGAAGTGTACTTTCTCTTTTTCTTCTCCCACAAGAAAGGACATTTCCCAAGTCCATGCATTTGCCCCATATTGGGAGTTGTCTTCTCAGCATCTGTGGGAGTGACACAGATGTGGATGGTTGTCCCCAGTGTTAGTGTTGGCTTACTGCTCTGTGGCTTCAGTGTTGCAGACAAAGACATTCTCCATCTGCTCCCAAGGCGTCATCTTACAGTATTCCTAATGGAGGAGAAATATTGAACCATATGAGAAGCCAGCAGAGCAGGTGACAAACAAACAGAAGTTTCCTTCCCATGCTCTTGATTTCTGTATCAAAACTAGCCTTCTATTCTGAAAAAAGATAGTTTTTAGGGTCATCAGGAGTTTTTAGGATCATCAGCACCTTTCCCTGGATTCTGTTTTCGGTTCAGATCCTTGATCCACAAGTGTCCAATAAAGCACTATTGCATGGTCATGACCACAAGGCTTCTTTCAGTATACTTACAAGAAATGGTAAATATCTCCTTCTTTTCCAAACATGAGGTGAAAATTACAGTAAACCCCACCTCCCATGGAGCAAATTGGGTGATTCTACCATGTGTCCTGGAACTTTCCTTTGTTTATGAGGTACATGGAAAATGAAAGTCTCCATACCTGTAATATATAGGACATTAACATGCTATTGTCCATCTGCCACTGAAAGACGGGCACGGAGGAAGGAAGTCTCACTCCACCTCAGTTACGCTCAGTTACGCTCTGACCTCTCATGATTTTCTCCACCTCGAAGCTGGTTGTTTCCCAGTGTTCCCTATCTCAGTGACATGCACAAGCATCCTGGTAATGCAGAAATCTTAAGAGGCATCTGTAAATCCTCCCTCCCTCTCTTCACTGCATTTACTTGTCTTCATTTCTGTTGCTACCCCCATGCAGCCAGCCTCTGCCTGTAATACAGGACCAGGGTGATAACCTCTCAATTATCTTCCCCTTTTTTATCCTTCCCTTTTGCCATTCAATCCAGCAACTGGATTGTTGCTTTTAAAATGTAAGTCAGATCATTTCACTGCGACCTTGCGGTGGTGGCTCCCATCACACTTAAGCAAAACAAAACACAATAACCAAAACTAAAGCCAAAACCAAACCACATTAAATTCTTTCTGTGGCCTGCAGGGCACTGTGTGATCTGGGATCTGGCCATCATCTACTAACTTGCCAACATCTCATGTTTGGTCCACTTGCAATCACTACCTCTTTATTAGCTTCTTTTCACTCTTACATGAAGACAAAATGATTAGCATCTCTCATGGCTCTGAAATGCCTCCAGCTTCATCTTGCTCCACACTCCCCTTCTTTCCCTTTGCTCCACAACCTGCTTTCAGTTCCCAGCGCGGGCCTCTTTCTGCCCCAGGACTCTGTGCCTGCTAGTTACTTGTTCTGGAACAGCCTTCCTTTTCCCCTTTGATCTTGTCAGCCCTTAAGTAGCATTTCTTCAGAGAGCTTTCCTAGATTCCAAGGTCAAGTCATGTTCTTTGTCATTTGGAATCACATGACTCTGATCATTTCCTACTACCTGCTTACTGTAAGCCCTATCCATAAAGTGACCTTAATCTTCTGGTTTCCTTATGAGAAGATGGAACAACTTGTTTTTCAAACTTGAATAAATAAACATTAAGAGATATAGATAAAACAGCCAAGAGCATAGTTGTTATATTTAATTTAGGTGTGCTGATGTTTAAAATTACGCTAGATAAAATAATGTGCATTTAAAGACCTTTTTCTTTTTTTTAACTTTCATTTTTCTTCATGCTCTTCACATTTATCTTTGACATCCATGTCTTCATCATCACTATAGCCACTTTTTGAATGCTCTAATGCAGTTTTGTTAGGCATGTCACCTTCACTTCCACTGAAGTTGTTTGAGATACAGTACTTTGTGAATCATGCATGATCCTGTCACTGGAAATTTATCCCAAGCCACTAGAATCCATTTGCGTAACATTAGGACAGTTTTTTTTTTATTTGTCCTGTGGGTATGTATTTATGATCTCTACACTCTAACCACTCACTGTATTGCTTTAAAAGTAATCTTTAAAATTTAAAAGGCTTGTTTACAATGACATCCAACATTTGCAATTGTTAGGTCATCCCTCAGGGACAATTACTAAATCTTTGTTAAATTCCATTCCTTCTTTATTACCAATTATATCCGTTATGGGTTAATTTGCTGAAAGACAATTCACTGAATGGCCAATTTGCTTAATTTACCTGTTTCTTTTCACTAATTTTAGTCCACTCGGCTATTATTTTGTCTTCCTAACAGTATTTTTTAAATGTTAATTGTTCTCTGCCTCAGTTCCCTGCTACTTGAACTAAACATTGTGTTTGCCATTTCTGAACCCATAATCTCCCCTTCTTCCCCACCATGTCTTTGCTAATAGAACCTCTGTTTTCTAATAGAACCTCTGTTTTCTTTAGGTATCCATGGCTTTCTCACAGTCATGGGACTCTGAGGAAAAAGGACCCCATCCTGCTTTTTTGGTTTTTTTTTGTTTTTGAGGTGGAGTTTTGCTCTTGCTGCCCAGGCTGGAGTGCACTGGTGCAATCTCAGCTTACGGCAACCTCCGCCTCCCGAGTTCAAGTGATTCTCCTGCCTCAGCCTTCTGAGTAGCTGGGAGTACAGGCACCCGCCACCATGCCCAGCTAATTTTTTTTTTTTTTTGTATTTTTAGTAGAGACAGGGTTTTGCCATGTCAGTCAGTCTGGTCTCGAACTCCTGACCTCGAGTGATCCACCCGCCTTGGCCTCCCAAAGTACTGGCGTTACAGGCATGAGCCACCACACCTGGCCCCCTGTTTTAATCATATTATCTTGGGAGAGGTATGATGAGGTCAGATGCAGATCAAGAGAGAGAAACTGGAAAGAGTTTCCCAATTTTATTATACTCACAGTTCCCTGGGGAGGACATAGCAGGCCATACAGGGTCACTAGGAGGAAGTACCAGGGTCTTTCAGGAGGCAGAGAGAGGGGACAGGATGATGAGCAAATACCATTATTGTGGTTTCTGTGGAAGGGGTGGGCAGGGCAGAGTATGTGGACTTAGGATTGGCTGGCTATGTTTGAACGTGGCACTCCTGTGAAATTTGCGTTCACTGCAACTGTTAAGGTATGTGGTTTGGGGTTATCTGAAGTCTCCAGATAGTTTGGGTAAGCCAGGGTTTTATAATAACTAATAGCTATTTTGTAAATGTTAAAAGATCATTTACAGAAATAAAAAGTGTGGTTACTATAATCCCCACTTTGCAGTTTTTACAGAACATCTTGAGACTCTCTCCATACTAGGCTTTCCTACCCAGCAGCTCTTACCCCATTTTAAGTCATCCCTGGAAACAGATTTCCCTTCTCCTGAGCAGCAGGAGAGGTGGTGCGTATATTAGAGAAAGGGTTGTTTCTGAGGAGTAATGACGCTGCTCTCTGTATTTTCACTCATGGGGGACAAATCATGATCCACATTCACACAGAGCTGCAAAGAGCCATTTCAAGCAACTGGAGTTAGATTGTGAGATGAAGCATGCTTGCTGCCTCTATGGTTTATCCTCTACTGTTTTCTTCTTTCATATTTGGTGAAGTGTAAGAGATTGGGCCACAGTGCCCTAAGGCTTGGGATACCAACATGAGGACCCACCGCAGATAAAGGATGGTAGAACAGAACCAGCCATTGAACAAGATTTCATCTGGGCCCTTGTGCACAGGATTACCTGCTGTTTCCTTCAGACTTACTTGTTAGTATTTTTGGACTTTCCGCCTACTTGTCCATTTCAGCTTGCTTTATGCTTTGACTGTTGATGGTGTTTGGATTTATTAACCTTGGTTTGAACATTTTGGCTTTGGGTGTCTGCATGTAGATGTGGTTCTTGCCTCACCTTAGATGCCTAGTTAGCCTATTTACATAGCATAATGCCAAATCCACATATACCACACTGTGTGTCAGGCTAGGAAAGGATTGGCAGAGGGTGAGCAAAGAGAAAACCCAAAACCAGATAGCCATAAACTCTGTAAAATGTAGGGTGCAGAGCAAAAATGGAATAATGGCAGTCATGCAAAAGAACTCAGAAAATATTTCCTAATATCAAGATTACTGGGTTAAAAGCACTCAACATTTTAAGACTCTTGATACATATTGCTACATAGGTTTCTAGGGGAATCTGCTGCTCCACTAGCAATGCACAGTACATCTAGGGCTATACAAGCCTATATAGCACCCTGATGTGAATTAGAAAACACATCCAGTTGAATGCAGCCCTGTACCACGGTGCGGCATGGCAAACGGTAGGCAGCTGGATTTCAACCCCACTCACCTCCTTGCCCAGGTATCCTTGTCTAGAACACTGCCTGAGTGACAGTCATGATAGCCCTGAGCTTGCCCCATACTTGTTAGGGTGGAGTATTTTTGTATTGTAATCATTTCAGCCAAATTCTTGTTCCATCTGCCTTGTTTTTCTGAATCTTTAACTCAATCAACTCTCCTTTCTTGTCACTGGTAGCTACATTACTCCTCTTTTTTCTCCCTCAAAACAGTCTTGTAGAAGCTATCATACTTTAATAAGATGTAAACTCAGTAGGTTAATATTTAATAAAGTTAACAGAGTTTTCAACCCCATGGTTTCTGGTTCCTTGGGTTCTAAGGGTTGCCCCTGCCACCCAGATCTCCTTTTGACCACATTCCTCTAATGGCCCATTTGTTCCAGCCATGCTGGCCTTCCTGGTGTTCCTTGAACACAACAGGTACCTCATTAACTCAGAGCTTTGCACTTGTAGTTTTCTCTGCTAGGAAGACACTGACCAAAAAATTAAAATTGTTTACTCCCCCAATCCCTTCAGGTCTGTACACAAACTATTACCTCCTTTGAGAGACATTTCCTAACCACCAGGAACCCCTTCACTGGACACTTTCCCTGCTTTGTGTTTCTTCACTTGCTACTCTCATATGTGCATATATATATATATATATATATATATATATATATATATTTATATATGTATTTGTTGCCATTGCCACTCTCCCTGCCCCAGGATGTTAGGTCCATATAGGTAAGGACATATCTTTGTTTACACTTGTATCTGAAACAGTGCCTGACATGAAGTAAGGCCTCAATAAGTATTTGTTGAAGAAAATGGATGAATGAATGGAAGATATGAGCTACTTTCGCTCTTCAGTATGCAACAATAGCTCACTATTCACGTTGCCCTCGTGGAAGCTATAATACTGAAGTAACAAAAAGTCCCAAGAGTCCAATTCTTGGCTTTTGAATTTCTAAAATATATTTTTGTAAATTTGGGTTGGGAAGACAGCATTGAGAGAAGAGACTTACTGAAAATCAAGAACCCAGGTCCTGGCATAAACAATGGGGTTAGAAGACTATCTCTGGCCAACTTTTCCTGCCATTCAGAAAGAAGGTCAAATTCACCAATAGGAGAAGGAAAGTCTAGTGAAAGACAAAGTGATGGAATAAGTCCTTGGCCATACTGTCTGTGAAGGGAGTCTGGGATCCATTTTTGTTTGTTTGTTTTTTGTTCCCCCCCACGAACAGTCCCGGGCTAAAACTGTCAAACAAGTTGAGGGTGGGGAGGAAAGGAGCAGAAACCAAAGATTAAATATGTTGGAGATTTTTCAAGAGTGGAGTAGCCCAGGGATATCCAGGCATATGCAAGCCTCTGAGAGCAGCCGCATCTTCACAAGGTGCTGATCAGTGGACCGGCACTGACTGAGGGAGGTATTTTTGGGCTGAATACCTTGAGGGTCACAAGCTGAGTCCTCCGTGCTACCACCTGAACACAAGGGGAGCAGCTGAGAGTGCCTGTATTAGTTTTCTAGGGTTGCTATCACAAAATAGCACAGATTGGGCAGCTTAAACAACAGAAATGTATTCTCTCACAGTTCTGAAGACTAGAAGTCCAAAATCAAGATGTCATCAGGGTTGATTTCTTCTGAGCCCTCTTTCCTTGGCTCGTAGATGGCTGTCTTCTCCCTGCGTCTTCACATAGTCTTCCCTCTGTGTCTCTGTGTCTGTTGGTGATAAGGACACCCCAGTCATATTGGATTAGGACCCATGGCCTAATTTTACCTGAATTCTCTCTTTAAAGGCCCTATCTGCAAATACAGTCACATTCTGAGGTACTGGTTGTTATAACTTCAACATGTGAATTTTGGAGGGACAGAATTCAGCTCATAACAGTGTCCAAGTGCCCCTATGTGAGGTACAGAACAATCAAAAGATAACAGCTGGGCTCCATAGATCTCATGGTTAGGCTGAGAACGACTCAAACAGTATGACCTGGCCATCTGAGGCTAGTTCAAGATTGCAGACTTTAATACTGGATACCACTGGAGACCCACATGAGGCAAATTATATCTCAGTGGAAGCCAGTGTGAGCAGAGAATTTTAGTGAACAAGATACCCCATTCCTCCTGAAGCCAGGGTTCTACAAAAGTCAATGTCTATGCAGCCCATGGATCACACCAAGGGAGAAAGGAAGAAGGAAGATGAGAGGGATAAGGACTGTGTGTTTACCCAAATGAATCTGAGTATGTTGGGGAGGAGGGAGAATAAACCTCTGTGAATGGCCCAGTTCACTTGAATTGACATGCTTAGATTCCCAGGAGGAAGAGATGAACTGAGATGTTTAGAAATAAAGGAATTTAGGCTGTCAGATTCATCCATGTTCTGTAGCAAACATTCTATCTTGACATCTTTAAATAACATTTTATGCATATGTTCATAACAGTATTTCTCATTTGTAAGTTTGGTTTTTCAGTTTTTCAGTTTGGTTTGACCTATTCTTTCGTCTGCTTACTGTTCTTTTAATATAGTACCCCTCATGGGTGTTGTGAAAACGACAGGGGCCTAAGCCAACTGTGAATTGTGTTACATTGGATCTACTGACTTGGACGTAATAAGTGGAAATTGACTAAAGATGGCCTTTTCAAATTATTCATATTTATATTGGATTATTTGGCATTAACATGTCCAATGTAAAATGATTTCATTCTTCTAGACTTAATACTTTTAACCTTTAGGTGAGTGTCAGAAGTGATCTGCCAATCACTTTGCAAGTATAGATAATCTCAATCTCTCTCTCGCCAACAGATACCTGGATATATAACAATAGTGTTCAACTTAGGTATTCTCCTCCACATTTTAAAGTTGTCACTTAAACATTTTCATTATATATTTAAATGTTCCGAAGGATATAATTTCTATAATAGTATTTGGCAAATATTGACATCTTGAATAAAACTTTCAGATCACTCTTTTGAATATATTTAACAAATATTTGAATTCCAAATATATGAATTCCATAGTGATTTGATTTCCACCATCATCTGTTTTAAAAATGCATGAAGAAGCACCTTTTTAATACTAGAAACTCTTGCATCATTTTTTTCTTAGTCTAGCTATCATATTTCTGTTTTCCTTCTATACAGTGACGCATTCTAATGTAACATATTGTTATGTTTGAAAGCCTTTCACTTCACCATAATTCTCTAGAACAAAAATAAATACATAAAGTTAAATTAAAAAAATTCATATGATCATAGGGTTCTAAAATGTGAACATTTTTCTTTTAAATTGACTTACTACAATTATTTCTCACATACAATGGGTCAAACAATGTACATTTGTTACAAATTATAATAAATTATTACCCATGAAAGTAAAATCGTAGGGGGAATGCATTCCATAATGAATTGGATTGAGAGAGGTTGTTAAGGTGACTTGCTTATAAGACCATTTATCTTCTCTCTTTGTACAACCACTTGAGAAAATGCACCAGCATTAAGTAAGAAAAGGTATATTATAAAAGGGGTGAGGACCCGTATGACCTCCAGCACTATTTCAAGAAAATCAGTTTTAGGAATGTGTACATAAAGAAATTGAGGATCTAAACATAGGCTTCACACTCCCTAGATATTTTTCTGTTACCCTCAGAGATGACCATGTCCAATTTTGAAGATCACTATCACTCAGTCGGTAGAGGGGATGTCAGGGGTATATTTTACCAAACTGTCACCTCACTTTCAGGCTCACACTTGGGAAAGACAGACCCCAGACTGAACTGTGATCTGCTCTTAGTCTGGGAATGTTCATTATGGCAGTTAGATATCTGAAGTACAATGATGATTCTGCTGTGGCTGAAAGAGCAAACATGTATTTTTTTTAACATAGAAAATAACTGAAAAGCAAGTTAAACATGATAGATGACCATTCCTTAGAGAACAACTGAAACTCTCAGGTGCTATGAAATTAGCATAACTCAGTGAATGCTAAAATTGAACTTATTTTTAGAGATTTGTTCTGATACAAAGCGACCGCATTATTATGAAGGGTAAAATAACCCCAGAAATCACAAGATCTTCTGAGGTTCAAATTAACAAAATATCAGAGGAGATATCACAGAGAAATCTGAAATGATTTATTACAGAAGGCAGGAATACCTTCAGGGAAGGTTTTCCCCCCAGGTTAGCTAATACACAAGCCAAGGGGATATGTCAAATGTAAGACAAATAATGGTCTTAATAGAATTGCAGAACTGAACAGCTTTGATGGAATTGCATCAAGAGAAAGCAGGAGAGGGAACACATTTATACAGAGTAAAGTATTGTCTTGGATTGCAGTGTCTCATGAAATTTGGCTTTGAAAATGGGCTCAATTTAATTTTGAGAATAGTTATTTGAATTAAAAATAAGCCTTTAGGCTAATATCCAGAATCTACAAAGAATTCAAACAAATTTACAAGAAAACAACAAACAACCCCATCGACAAGTGGGCGAAGGATATGAACAGACACTTCTCAAAAGAAGACATTTATGCAGCCAACAGACACATGAAAAAATGCTCATCATCACTGGCCATCAGAGAAATGCAAATCAAAACCACAATGAGATACCATCTCACACCAGTTGGAATGGCAATCATTAAAAAGTCAGGAAACAACAGGTGCTGGAGAGCATGTGGAGAAATAGGAACACTTTTACACTGTTGGTGGGACTGTAAACTGGTTCAACCATTGTGGAAGACAGTGTGGCGATTCCTCAGGGATCTAGAACTAGAAATACCATTTGACCCAGCCATCCCATTACTGGGTATATACCCAAAGGATTATAAATCATGCTGCTATAAAGACACATGCACACGTATGTTTATTGCGGCACTATTCACAATAGCAAAGACCTGGAACCAACCCAGATGTCCAACAATGATAGACTGGATTAGGAAAATGTGGCACATATACACCATGGAATACTGGGCAGTCATAAAAAATGATGAGTTCATGTCCTTTGTAGGGACATGGATGAAGCTGGAAACCATCATTCTCAGCAAACGATCGCAAAGACAAAGAACCAAACATCGCATGTTCTCACTCACAGGTGGGAATTGAACAATGAGAACACTTGGACACAGGAAGGGGAACATCACACACCGGGGCCTGTTGTGGGGTGGGGGTAGGGGGGAGGAATAGCATTAGGAGATATACCTAATGTAAATGATGAGTTAATGGGTGCAGCACACCAACATAGCACTTGTATATATATGTAACAAACTTGCACGTTGTGCACATGTACCGTAGAACTTAAAGTATAATAATAAAAAAAATAAAAATAAATAAGCCTTTAGAACCTGAAGAGGAATAATAATAGCACTGAATTGAGCTGCGGACAGTCTAGGGCTTTATTGACACTGGGTGGCAAGTGTGGTTTTATCTGCCTCTTCTATTTTCCTGGGCCAGGGCTGGTGTCTCTACCTGTGTTTGTGACAGGTGCACATCCTGGACCACCATGCCAGACCACGAAACCAGCCAGACCTGGTCCCAATCACAGGACCAGCTCTTTGATAACTTTGCTGCTCGGCAAACAATTACACACCAGCAAACATCGCCAGTGACCTTCTGCTTTCACCTTGGTCTCTTGGCAGGTGTGATATACCATTTTAATATAGAAAGAATTAGAGAGTATGAGGCTCTGGACACTTCAGCACATTGTTTTGAGGGCAAGTGCAAGGGTTTTCCTCTGCCTTTATTTATGCTCTGACTTCTTGATGATGTACTTTTATTGAAGATATGTAAATATCTCTGTTTCTGTTAATTTATTTTCTGATATCTCTGATGGTAGTGAGTTTTTTTTTTTTTTGTTCTGCCTGTAAGGGAGATAATTGTTTTGAGACTGTTATTTTCTATCCTTGGGGTCTCTGGTAATTGCAATGATATCATTAAGTACTTGGAAGAAAAATAGGTCATTATTTACATTTAAAGGGATATACTTTGAAAAATATAATTCTAGGCAGTTTTTCTTTAACTTGAACCAATATTATATAAAAATATTCTAAAACTCAGAAGTTTGCAAGTGAGGAAAAACGGGTTTTATTTTCCTGATGCTGTATTTTGCAGAGTCTAAGTTTTTTTGTTTTTGGTAATGCCATAAATATTGTATGAAAATATCATTGATACAAATAGTATTTACTGATTAATTTCATGAATATTCTAGCTACATGTATCACAAGTATATAGTGTCATATTTATATTCAAACTAATCATGAAAGTCATATATATATATGTAAAACTCAAATTACTCCACTCAATATTTTGCAAATTCACACCTAAAAATCACCTTGAGCAATATAGTCATAAGAACATTTCATTTGCTCCTTCTATAGGTACAGACCAGAAACTCAAGTTATACCAAGAAATATAAAGGGACTCGGGAAAGGGTTGGGGAGGATGGGAGAGCTTACTATTTAGCAAAATGCTTACTTGGGATTAAATGACCTTTCCTATAAATCAGAAGGCAAACTGTCAGCCAGGTACTTTCTCATTTGCAGCATGTACAAGCAGCAGAAAAATGAGCCAAAGCATCCTTTGAAGCAAAACATTACATAGAATGCAATTCGTTCTCACTGTGTCTCTCTTCTCCTGGAAACTATTACTGAAGATAAATCAGGTGAGGCTGCAGTGCATCTTGCTCCTCCATGGGCAGGTCCTATTAGTAGCATCTTTATTTTCTTACCTGAAGCACTCTTGCCCTTCCAAGCGACACGAGTCAGATAAAGTGAGTGTGTGCTGAGTTAGCTCCCTGTGATAAAAAAAAAAAAAAAACAAAACGGAAACATTTTGCAATATTAAAAAGAAGAAGTGTTTGGGCTATACTATTCCAGAAGACGGTTATGAAATTCATCAGTATTTCTCTGAACTAATTCCAAAGGAATGATGCTCTGCTCTTTTGGAAATTCTGCCTATTGGTTTAGAGTCACGGGTACTTTCCTAGTACACTCACAGAATCACATTAACTCTGACCATCTTGTTAGACTTACAGAAAAATGCCAACAATCCCAATGACATGAGAAGTTCCCAAAAGATCAGACTGCCTTCTTCCTTTTTTGAAAAAAAAAAAATTATAATTTACTGCTTGTTTTCCCTGGCTCTCCATATCTGTCCAACCTTATTTCTCCAGATGCCAAATTTATTGCTTGCCAGGCTGTCCTCTCTTCTGGGTGGTTTACTTGTCATATTCTGCCCCTCTGGTGCTCTCAGTTATCCAAACTTAATGCCCTGACCCTTCTGCTGACTGCAGATGTGTGCCCAGGGTTGGTATTTTCCTCTCTCACTGTGATCTTCACTGTCTTTCTCAGTGTGCCTCAGTTCAGGATGTCTGGGGAGAAAAAATACCTCTAGAGAGTTTCAGGTGAATCTTACCAAAAGGGAACAATAATGAGATGTCATGGTGATGGCCAAAATTGGATTTTTCACTTATCCTCCTTGGGTGTCCATTCTGTTTTTGAAATTGTGTCCTTGAGTCTTTGACGCCTTGCTCTGGCAATCCAGAAATAGAAAGAACATCTGAATGACACACTCCTTCTAATGACCCTTAATACCTAGGGTAGTCATTTTGCCTGTATTTTTTGGCCCTAATTTTTGAATAATATTTGGTAAGAGCACTCATATCCTGAGGTAAGCAAGATGCTCAGTGATATAAGAAAATCAAGTACAGGTCTTATCTCCTAGGAATCCTCTCATCTCATTCCTGTAAGTATGTGATCTGTGGTTGGTGCAAAATGCGAGAGGGCCTTCAGGGACCCTGGCTGTGGTCTGGGTGGCATGTGGAGGTCAGGGTGTGTGTTCAGCATGTGGGGTGGTATGCAGCTGAACAGTATGGTTGCTGTGTTGCAGTTAGAAAACCTCAAAGTCGCTCCTCTCAGCTGCTGCTGGCAGGACTTCTGTGACTCTGTTTACTCTTGGGTTTGCTTTTGTCCATGGACAGGCCCCCAGGACTTAAGTTTCTGCCCCACGTTTTTGACAGAAGACTATCTTAATTGTGAATTCCCTTTTCAATAAGGAACTGGCACAAACTTCTAAAAGTGTGGAGTTAAAAGAATACCATAGCTCATGTTTGTTGAGTGCTTACGGTGTACTGGCATTTGTTTGCATTTTCTCCTTTCTTTTTCTGAGGCACAGAGAGGATAAGTGATTTGCACAAGGTCACAGAACCATTGAGAAGTGGAGCTGGGATCCACCCCCATCAACCTAACCTCAGAACCCCTTGCTCGTACCTACTGAATGATCTTCCTATGTGATGTAGTTGGTTGTTGGAATTAGTTTCGTGATCCAGACACTTCAGAGCCAGCGCTGCTGCCCGTCTCTTGAGTTTTTCCTCCAAGATGGTTGCTGTAGCCTGAACTGCCACATTCTACCTGCGAGACAAGGAAGAAGGGGGAAGGCTGGTACTGTCAAGATTTCCACTTAGATCTCCCTGGCTAGCATGCTACCACATGGCTATCATTAGCTATAGGGGCAGCTGGGATAGTAAGGATTTAGCTTTTGTAGTCTGTGTAGTAGAACAGGCAAAAGAACAGTGGTTTGGGGCTGGGGAGAGGCAGTCAACAGTGCCTTCCACAACAAGTAATTTTATGGAGATCTCTCTTACTTGGCTTTGGGGAAGGTGCTGGAAAAGGAAATTTTCTTTCCATAAACACTATTATTCTCTATAGTAGGCTAAGTAATAACCCCCCAAGATATTTAGTTTCTAATCCCAGTAGGCTGTCCTTAAATCCTTGTAGCTCTTATACACCAAAAGGGACCTTGCAGATGTGATTAAGGATCCTGAGATGTGGAGATTATCTGGATAATCTATGTGGGCCCTAAGTGTAATCACAAGTGTCCATATAACAGGTAGCAGAGAAAGATTTGATTGCAGACATGGGGACAATGTGACAACTAAAACAAAGCAATATGTTCCTGGCTTTGAAGATAGAAGACAGAGCCATATGCCTAGCAGTGCAGCTCTAGAAACTGAAAAAGTCCAGAAAGCAGGTTGTCCCCTAGAGCCTCTCGAGGGTGTGCGGCCCTGATGACACCTTGATCTTGGTCCAGTGAAGTCAATATTGGATTTCTGACCCCAGAAATGCAACAATAAATGGATACTGCTTGAAGCCACAAGTTTATAGTAATTTGTTATAGTAGCCCTGGGAAATGAATACATTCCTCCAGCCGAGCCCTCCCTCCCAGTTCTGTTGATATGGTGCCCTTCACTAAGCTGTGTGTGTGTGTGTGTGTGTGTGTGTGTGTGTGTGTGCGTGTGCACGCATATATGTGTGTGCATGAGAGAGAGAGAGAGATAGAGACAGGAGAGGAGCATGGGGAGAGGAGAGGGAAGAGAGAGATGGCAACGTGACCTGGAGCTAGCCACAATAACAGTAGTTCTCTGCACTGAGAATGTGAGTTGTGAGTACCTTTGTTCACAGCTATAGCCATTAGTAATCATAGCTGGGAAAACAGAAAAAAAATATCCCATTAGATCCCCTTAGCCACCTGATGCTACACCGTCATATCTGTAATAGATCTAAAGTAATTGGGCCAGAGGCCTCTTTAAAGGCAAGGACTTTCATGTATAAGTAGAAGGGGTTGATTATGTGAGTAAGAGTTTCTCTTTGTCACTCTCTCTTTGGCTTGAGTAACGGATTCATTTGATAGCAGAGCAGTGCATTGACTGCATAGCCAGCTGTCCAAATGGGATTCTTTGTCTCTTGGTTTTGCCAAGGCTGAGAACAAAATAATAGAACTCCTACATTCCAAGTGAGTGCCAGATCATGTACGCGGAACTGGCAAAGGAAATGGTCAACAGTTAGTTTTGTAACCTTACTTAGAGGATAAGGAAGAGATTAGGGCCAAGAAGGAGAGAATGCCTTAGAAAAAAGATGGTTGGAACACTGTGGCTTTCTCCTCCCTCTTCCATGTTGTACTTCCCTCAGCTCAAGCTGAGAGAGGGGCTTTAGGAGGTCCACTTGCAAAATTCACGGCTCTTTGGTGGAGTTTATAGAGGCATAGGGAGAGATGTCAGACACGTTCCTGAGGAGGTGGTTAGCATTATGGGCCTGGCAGCAATGACAAGAAAGAAAAAAAAAAAAAAAGACTGCACTGGCAGCCATCTAATCTCCTTAGTAGCAAGACCAACATTTGTGAAATTTCCTGTGGGGGTGTGTGGATCTGTAATGATGGTGGTGGAGAGGAGCTGACCTATACTTGGCCCAAGAAACTCACATTGATGTGACCACTCTGGAGAGCATTTCTGGGGAGGCTGCTGGGGCCCAGGAGCTGTGAGGGTCAGAATGGGCTGGTGGAGGAGGCAGTACCCATGTCCAGGAAGCCTTGTTTGGAGGTCACCAAGAGGGAGTTCTCCAAGTCACCCTCCAAAGGCTCTTGAAACAAAGAACTGGGCTAACATTTGCCAAATGTCAGATCACAAATCAGCCATGCTCAGTTGTATCCTTTCCCCTAATGCTGTCCTCCTTTAGGCTCAATCCTGGAGGGGTCAGACCTTGGCTATGAACTAAAGGAGAAGCAATGGAAGAATACAGCTGGGAAAAAAGAGAAGCAGCTCCATATGCCTCCTGCCTACATCGTGTTTCTAGGTCTAAAACAGTAACATGCTGGAGGAGGAAAGAAAATCTAATTTAGGCAAGAGTCTGGGGCTTTTATTTTCATGTTTGACTGGGCAATTATTTCTAAAATGAAACTGTTCTTGTGCCTAAAGCCAGCTGAAAGAATTAAGGCATGTGCCAAAGATTTCATCCAGGAGGCAAGGAAGAATGAGTCCGTAGACGAAGTCTGAATGGGTAGTAAACAAAAGAATCAAGTTGTATTCTACTTATACCTTCTGGTGTGTGGCTTGTTCCATTATATGATTCAGCTGGGCCGGGCGCAGTGGCTCATGCATGTAATCCCAGCACTTTGGGAGGCCGAGGCGGGCGGATCACGAGGTCAGGAGATGGAGACCAGACTGGCTAACACAGTGAAACCTTGTCTCTACTAAAAATACAAAAAATTAGCCAGGCGTGGTGGCGGGCGCCTGTAGTTCCAGCTACTCGGGAGGCTGAGACAGGAGAATGGTGTGAACCCGGGAGGCGGAGCTTGCAGTGAGCCAAGATTGCGCCAATGCGCTCCAGCCTGGGCGATAGAACGAGACTCCCTCTCAAAGAAAAAAAAAAAAAAAAAAAAAAAAAAAAAGAGTCAGCTGTTACTGTCCAACTCCTGGTAGATCAGAGCAGAGTAACTGGGTTGCTTTAGATAGGAAGATTATTAGGTAACTTTAAAAAATATGCTTAGTTAGTCTTAACTTAGTTCAGGTAAAACTGCTATGCATGTGAGGGCTGCCATAGCTGCACTCCTGTCTAACTTCACATTAGAGCAGATCAGAGCCCAGGGCAGGGATATTTTGACTTGGCTCCTTCACCAACCCTCTCATCACCCAGATCTGGCCTCTTTCCTCCTGGTTTATTGGAAGGCAAGCTCATGGTGCTGGAATGGGGCGACTCTGATTCCATTAACATTCTCCAGACCCAATTCCTTAAACATTACTTTTGTTCTGCCTTCCATTTTGGCCCCACGTTCCTCTCCTCACCCTCAATCCCCTCTTCTAGTCATTGCCTGAAGTGTTCTTTGGATACAACAGCAAAGGTTGCAGTGAGA
This sequence comes from Homo sapiens, assembly GCF_000001405.40. Lineage (NCBI taxonomy): Eukaryota > Metazoa > Chordata > Mammalia > Primates > Hominidae > Homo > Homo sapiens. The sequence goes on along the minus strand of NC_000005.10, from coordinate 118,576,379 downwards.
ATTGGTAGCCAGGTCAGAGGTCACCTTCAAGGCCACAGCCTGAGTGGAAGGTGAATTTCCCTTTCCCCTGTTAGGGGGCTGTTAGTGAAATAAAGAAGGGAAAGTATGAGGAGAAATTGAAGAGACATTCAGTATACAAGGGGGATCAATTTTTGGCTCAAATTTTGGGTGCATCTCAGGAAAAGATGAACTCCCCTGTTTTCAAGCTGTACTTTTTGAAGGAAAAGAGATTGATTTAGTGAGTCATTTTTGAAATCCACTGAAACATGCATTGGTAGGCTCAGAACTGTGCGGTGGATTGATCCCAACTTAATGCAGTTCAACAATGCTTGTTGAAGCAATCACCGTTAAAAGGATACACTAGCAGTGCTGAAAAGCTGAAGGCCAAATGGGTTTCAACTTTCCTCAGCACTGAGCCAGAAACTCCTCATTTGTTTTCCTTTTCTGAGAATCACCTCATGCTATTCAGACAAGGTGACAATCATGCCTGAAGAAGCTCTGTTAAGCCAATTTACATCAGGTGTGCGGGTGCAGATTTTAGAGGAAAGCTATGACTGATGAGAGATTGTTTTCCCAGCTCAACGGAGCTTTCCAGTGACTAAATAACTGAACTATTCTTTCAAAAGAGTCAGGAGGGGACTCTAGTTCCCCTTCTACCACTCACAGGCTGTGGGACCTTGGCCAGTTATTAACCTGACGGGTCTTCACTTATACGATGGTGGAATGCAGGCTGAAAGCTGGGGGCCAATGTGAGTTACGATTCTGTTGTTTTCTGAATTTTTTTCTGTTGGTGGCCAGTTGGTGTGCATATGTGGGTGATTTTAGCCTTTCTCTGGGTCTGGCTTTATGATGTCACTAACAAGCCCTGGTGGCCACAGCAGTCTGACTGCCAGGTCTGGCCTTGGCATCTGAAGACAAACCCAGGCTTCAGCTCCCTTGCCTCTCACTACTGATAGATGACCAGAGCTATCCTCTGATTCCTTATTAAAAGAAAGAAAGTGAAGAACACCTTGTTTTGGAATTAAAAATAGATCTTGGACTTCTTGTTTCTAAGTATTGAATATTTCAATATAGTAGTATAATGTTTCTATTAATTCTTAAAAAGAATTACCAGACTCAGCTCGTTACTTTTAGATAGGCTATCAAGGCTGTGTGTATCATTGGCTTTGTGTAATGCACCTTTTGTTCTCAGCCATTTTATTACTTTGGGTGAAGATGGACAAGGGAGACTATTTGTTTCCTTTACTACATTGGATTGTGTGGCTTGTGAAGAGGGAGATAAGACATAACTCCTGTTCTAAAAGAGTTAACAAGAGAGTTGGAGCTAAGACATATGAATAAGAAAGATTTAGAAAAGGAGCTTCATCATCAGTAAATATGAGGCTCCCAGGTGTGGAGATCCTGGGTCAAGTGTGGATGGAATATGGAAATACACTTTATAGCCTGTCTCATTACGTATGGTATAGAATTTGTTTGCAAAGCTTTGGTTTCCTCTGCCACTCTGCCTGTTGACAGTATCTGTGGTCTGTCAGAGCAGTTCAGTCTAGAAGTCCCTACATTTTTATTCTTCATGGCCCTCTCAGGATAAGAGGAGGTGCTCTTTCTACAAATCACCAGTTACTTCAGAGGGGAGCTGTATATTCTTAATTCCTTATTTAATTATCTCTCTTCCCAAATTTCTGGGAGCCCTACGCAGGCAGGGGTCAGGTCTATTTTGCTTACTATTATTTTCTCAATAACTGGCACTTATTAACTGAAAAAATTGATAATTAAAATAATAATAATTTGCCACTCTTGGGAGACTAAAGTTTACGTATGTGTTTAATGTTTTTCTTCTACTTGGCTACTCTAGTTACAGTCTACTCTCCCATGGTAGATGTGGAACATATTAGATGCTATTTATTAATTCAATGGAAAATGATTTTGCATTATTATTTTTGTATGTCAAGAATAGTTCTGGGTTCTGAGTTTAGAGGGGTAAACAAGACAGAAAAGATTCTTGCTGTTCCAGGATGTACATGCCATAGAAACAGAAAGTAAATCATAAAGACACATGCATGAGTATGTTCATTGCAGCACTATTCACAATAGCGTAGACATGGAAACAACCAGAATGCCCAATAATGACAGATTAAATAAAGAAAATGTGGTATATATACAATATGGAATACTATGCAGCCATCGAAAAGAACAAGATCATGTCCTTTGCATGAACATAGATGGAGCTGGAGGCCATTATCCTTAGCAAACGAACATGGGAACAGAAAAGCAAATACTGCATGTTGAGAGCACAAGGACACACAGAGGGGAATGATAGACATTGGGGGTTACTTGAGGGTGGAGGAATTAAAAATAGATGGGAGGATGGGAGGAGGGAGAGGATCAGGAAAAATAATGGGTACTAGGATTAATAACCAGGTGACAAAATAATCTGTACAACAAACTCCTATGACTCAAGTTTACCTATGTAACAAACCTGCACATGTACCCCTGAACTTAAAACAAAAGTTGAATAGGGAATAAAATAAAAAATAAAGAAATGAAAAAGATGATTTCAGATAGTATTGTATTCAATTAAATAAATGGCAGCATGATCATCTAGAGATTGGAGGTGTCTGGAAGGCCCAAGGAGGGACAGTTTTAGCTTCTCCCTGAGTGATTAAAAGGAGCCAGCAGGAAAACGGCAGTGGGGGAAGGAGATAGTCTGGGCAAAGACAAAAGCCCAGATATAGGGACAGGCTTGGGTTATTTGAGGACTGGAGAAAAGGCTAGGGAGTCTGGGAGTAAATGAGTGAGAGTGGGTTTAATAAGAAAAAGCTAAAGTGGGAGGCAGAAGTCTGATCATTTAGAGGGCATATAGGCCACATGCACTGGCCAGAGTTCTGGCAGGAAACCAAAGACATAATCAAATTGGGTAACCTGGAGAGTATTTTGATGTGGGCCGTGTTTTAGGAAAAGCAACAATTAGTGCAGTACCCCAGAGCTGGGGATGGGAAATGGGCAAGGGAAGGAGTCAGTTTCTGACCGTGGAGGGACGCAGCCAAACTGTAGTGAACCACCAGAAGGAAGCTGGGAAAAACCAGACCTTTATTTACTCCATGTTCTGGAACTCCCATAAGGTACCTCCCACTGGCCAAGCCAACCAGAAACAGGAATGCAGAGGAGCCCATTGATGCAGACCTGTGGGCCAGCCTACCGGGGTGTGGAGAAGAATCCAGCTCATTCTGCTGACAGGTTTGAAGTTTAATCCTAAGAATAATGGAAAGCCCAAAATCCCCATTGGGAAATTTTGACAACGGGAGTGGCATGAACTAGTGTGTGCTTTGAGTATCATGCTCTGGCTGCTGTGTGGAGACCTGAATGTATGAAACAGAAGTGGAAGCAGGCTGCCCTGTCAGGAGACCCTGCGGTGTCCGTCGCTGTCGCCTGTCCTCCACACATGGAATTCAGCCACTGTAGACTGGCTCGTGGCCCTCCCTGATATGGTAAAGTCAGCTGACCATTTGCTCAGGACCACACATGGGTGTTCCCTGCGGGGGTGTTGTTGGAAGTTCCCTAGTATGATATGGTGAGGGTGAGTGGATGTGAGTCTCACAGGTGTGCAGAGGTTTTCAGTTTGGTCTGAAATGGAGGCTGGGTTGACTAGCTAAGGATGGCTCTCTGATGTAAAGCCGCATCATGTGCTTGAGTGTTGCTATGTGAAGCAGGTTCTATGGTAATGACTGGCAGTGTTCTTTAGGAGGAGCATGGCTTGTATGGCTTCCTCTTGTGCTGTACGGAATATTTGCAAGGCCCAAATTGCATCTGAGAGAAACTTTCTAAGAAAGCTTCATAATAGGTTGGTCATCCTGGGAAGAAAGTATATATTTATGTCTATGTACATGTGTGTGTATATGTGTGTGTGTGTGTGTGTGTGTGTGTGTGTGTGTATTTATGGGGAGTGAGTAGGGAAAGGGAGGGAGAGGGGAAAAGGAAAATGAGAGGAAGTGAGAGGTTTTGACAACATTTTGATGGGCCCAGCTTGTCTTCTAAAATATCTTTCAGAAAATGATCTAAGATCCATTCTACCAAATTTAGGATAAAGGTGAAAGTCCTGAAACTGAAAGAACCCAAGACTTTCTCTTCTTTTTGTGTTTCTTGTGTTGAGCTTATCAGCCTGAGACGTTGAGATGCTGTATATACTTTCTGAGGCATCTATAGTTCTGACTCTGAGTGAGGGTCACACTAAAAGTCTGTAGAAAGAGTGTGGATGTTGAGTCAAAACCCGATTTATCTTTTGACTTCATCTCACATATAGGGCTATGTAACGTGATTGGAAGCTTGAAGCTGGAATAGTATATTCCTATTGTCTGTCAACTATACTTTTGATAGCATGGTAGGAACAGGAATGAATGATTTTAGTTTTCCAGTAATTATAAGATGTTTTTAAAACATAATTTTGCAGTTTGAAATTGCTAAGGAATAAATCAAATGTTACTGTTGGATAATATTTTAATACTCTTTTAAAAGTATATTGATCTAAATTGTTCAGAAATCATTGAATTATTAGTTAGTATTCAAGGGATGACTATCACATAATGAGATGGCTTTTAACAAACTCATTAAAACGCATTCAATTGACAAAAAATAAATTGAATGTGGACTATTTGTAAGGCAAGTGAGGAAAACTAAAATGTGTAAGACATAGTCTCTGCCCCCAAGGAGCTTATGTATTGCAATAATTTTTTCATTTCAGTATAATCAGTTGGGAAGCTATCATCTTTTTGCAATGAGATCACTCCTGCTAAACACATAGGAGCTTCTTTGGAATTGTCTTCAGATCTAGTTTAACACATTTGCATGTGTGCATGCACACACACATACACTCATGGTCAGTCTCAGTTTTTTAGGACAGGGGTCAGCAAAATTTGGTCTGTGGGTGAAATCCAGCCTACTGCCTGTTTGGCATGGCCCCAGAGCTAAGAATGATTTTTACATTTTTAGATGATTGAAAAAAAAACAACAACAGAGGAAGAGCAATATACAGGGATACATAAAAATTACGTGAAATTCAAATTTTAGTGTTAATAATGTTTATTGGGACATAGCAGTATTTACTCATTTATGTGTATGAGATAAATAGGTGGGACTTAATTAAACTATTAATTATTTTTTAATTAACTTCTTAATTTTTACTGTTCTCCCTTACCTTTGCCTTTGCTATTGAATTCCCAAATTAACTCAAACTGTATGAGTGGCGTTTAAGTGGCCACCACCTTCTGCCCCACCAGTTAGTTACTATCCAATTGTTCCTCCTCATGAGAGAATGAAGTCTGGGCGCGGTGGCTCACACCTGTAATCCCAGCACTTTGGGAGGCCAGGGTGGGCAGATCACCTGAGGTCAGGAGTTTGAGACCACCCTGGCCAACATGGTGAAACCCCATCTCTGCTAGAAATACAAAAATTAGCCGGGCGTTGTGGTGCACACCTGTAATCCCAGCTACTTGGGAGGCTGAGGCAGGAGAATCGCTTGAACCTGGGAGGCGGAGGCTGCAGTGAGCTGAGATTGTGCCACTGCACTCCAGCCTGGGTGACAGAGCAAGACTCTGTTTCAAAAAAAAAAAAAAAAAAAAAAGAAAAGAGAAAATTGCCAAGGTATGCTGTGTTAGTCAGGGTTCTCTACAGGGACACAATAGGATAGATGTATGTATAAAGGAAAGTTTATTAAGGAGAATTGACTCACACAGTTACAAGGTGAAGTTCCACAATAGGCCACCTGCAAACTGAGGAGCAAGGAAGCCAGTCCGAGTCCCAAAACCTCAAAAATAGGGAAGCTGACAGTGCAGCCTTTAGTCTGTGGTCAAAGGTCCAGAGTCCTAAAGCTAAAGGACTTGGAGTCCCATGTTTAAGGGAAGGAACCATCCAGCATGGGAGAAAGTTGTAGGCCAGAAGATAAAGCTGTCTAGTCTTTCCGCATTATTCTGCCTGCTTTTATTCTGGGTGCTCTGGCAGCTGATTAGATGGTGCCCACCCAGACTGAGGGTGGGTCTGCCTCTCCCAGTCCACTGACTCAAATGTTAATCTCCTTTGGCAACACCCTCACAGACACACCCAGGAAAAATACTTTGCGTCCTTCAATTGAATCAAGCTGACACTCAGTACTAACTATCACAAGTCCACCTCTTGTCAACTTCAACCCATACACATCTCCTGAAATCATACATAATCTTCAAATAAAGACAGTAAGGTCATAATTTTGCCTAATATAATACAGCTATCCTTCATACAACTGGAAGCCCACTAATCCTTAACCTAAATGCTATTACATAAAATTAACAACATGTACATGGTGATATAAAGTCAATAAATCTTATGTCACATGATAAAGGAAAAAGAAATAAAATGAAGATATTTTCATATTACAAGTATATACATGCACAAACATGTTCTTAACAAAATAAAGAGGAAATACTCATGACAATTACAGTCCTTGTTTCTGCAGCTGGTCATGTGGTCATAGCTGGTATTAATGACTACCTTCTTCTAATACGCATTCTGTATTCCCTTTGCCTTCAGCAAGCATCTCAGCAGGATGTGGTTTTTTACCTGATGGAGTGACCCAAACTTTCATCCTGAAGGTTTTGAGTCATTTGTAGTCCTGCCTGGATTGGGCTGATGTAGTTTCCCATTGACCTTAATCACAGGTTATGGTAATACTAAGAGATGCCCTAAGGGATCTCCTGTATTCCACACATACTCTTCCTTACCTCCTTTGTGGAGTAGTAGACTGATTTCATCTTGATAGTCCTGGTCAACCACCCTAGCCAACACTGTAACTCCCTTCTTAGCCTGTTGACTTAGAGGTGGGAGGAGCCCAAAGTGGCCAGGTGGCAATCTTAACTTCCAGTGTAATGGAACCATTGTTGTGTCTCCTGGTGGCAACATTCCTCCCTCTGGAGCTAAGACCTCTAGGCCAGCAGAACGTAATATTGTGGGAACAGGAAGCAAAATTTTGCCGGTGGGTCACTAGGGGTGATGGTGAGTGGTGCCACTTCCACTTCCACCCCTTGATTCCTTGACCCATGAATCCTGGCTATGGGAGAAACAGTACCAGATATTGGATGCTGATGCAGAGCATAAACGGCTTTCTGGAGAACTTTGCCCCAGGCCTGCAAAGTATTGTCACCTAGTTGGCATTGTAATTGTGACTTTAAAAGGCCATTCCACTGTTTTATCAATACAGCTGCTTCAGGATGATGGGGAACATGGTAAGACCAGTGAATTCCATGAGCATGAGCCCACTGCTGCACTTCTTTAGCTGTAAAGTAAGTGCCTTGGTCAGAGGCAATGCTGTGTGGAATACCATGACGGTGGATAAGGCATTCTGTGAGTCCATGAATGGTAGTCTTGGCAGAAGCACTGCGTGCAGGATATGGAAACCCATATCCAGAGTAAGCGTTTATTCTGGTGAGGACAAACTGCTGCCCTTTCTATGATGGATGAGGTCTAATATAATCAACCTGCCACCAAGTAGCTGGCTGATCACCCCGAAGAATGGTGCCATATCAATGGCTCAGTGTTGGTCTGTGCTGCTGCTGGCAAATTGGGTGCTCAGCACTGGCCGTAGCCAGGTCAGCCTTGGTGAGTGGAAGTCCACGTTGCTGAGCTCAGGCTTAATCTCCGTCCCTGCCATCATGGCCACTTTGTTCATGGACCCATTGGGCATTGGGTGATAACAGGGGTTGCTGGGGAAGAGGCTGAGTGGTGTCCACAGAACGAGTCATCCTATTCACTTGATTACTAAAATCCTCCTCTGCTGAGTTCACCCTTTGGTGAGCAATCACATGAGATACAAATATCTTCACAGTTTTTGACCACTCAGAGGGGTCCATCCACATACCTCTTCCCCAAATTTCTTTGTCACCAATTTTCCAGTCATGATTCTTCCAAGTCCCTGACCATCCAGCCAAACCATTGGCTACAGCCCGTTAATCAGTATATAATCGCACATCTGGCCATTTCACCTTCCAAGCAAAGTGCACAATCAGGTGCACTGTTTGAAGTTCTGCCCGCTGGGAAGAAGATTCCCCTTCTCTACTGTCCTTCAGGGATGTCCTAGAAAGGAGCTATAGTGCTGCAGCTGTCCACTTTCAGGTGGTGCCGGCATATCATGCAGAGCCATCTGTAAATCAGGCCCTAGTCTTCTCTTCCTCTGTCAACTGATCATAGGGAACTCCCCCTGAGGCTATTGGTGCAGGCTGAGGGCGAGAAGGCAGTATGGCAGGAGTGGAGACCATGGGCATTTGAGCCACTTCGTCATGTAACTTACTTGTGCCCTCAGGACCTGCTTGAGCCCAATCACGTATATAACACTTCCATTTGATAATGGAATGCTGCTGTGCACAACCCACTTTATGGCTAGATGGGTCAGAAAGCACCCAGTTCATGATAGGCAGTTCAGGTCACACAGTGACTTGATGACCCATAGTCAAACATTCAGTTTCTACCAAAGCCCAGTAACAGACCAAGAGCTGTCTCTCTAGAGGAGAGTAGTTATCTGCAGAAGGTGGCAGGGCCTTTATCCAAAATCCTAGAGATATCTGCTATGATTCACCTATGGTGGCCTACCAAAGGTTCCAAACAACATCCCTATTTGGCACTGACACCTCAAGTCCCATTGGATCTGCTGGATCATATGGCCCAAGTAGCAGAGCAGCTCACACAGCAGCCTGGACCTGCTGCAGAGCCTTCTTCTGTTCTGGACCCCAGTCAAAACTGGAAGCCTTTCAGGTCACTTGATAAATGGGCCAGAGTAACACACCTAAATGAGGAATGTGTTTTTTCCAAAATCCGAATAGGCCCACTAGGCGTTGGGCCCCTTTCTTGGTTGTAGGAGGGGCTAAATGCAGCAACTTATCCTTCACCTTAGAAGGAATATCTGGACAGGCCCCACACCACTGGACCCCTAGAAATTTTGCTGAGGTAGAAGCTCCCTGAAGTTTATTCGGATTTATTTTCCATCGTCTGGCAAGCAAATATTTCACCAGTAAGTCCAGTGTGTTTCCTACTTCTTGCTCACTGGGTCCAATCAGCGTAATGTCATCAATGTAATGGACCAGTGTGATATCTTGTGGAAGGGAAAAGTGATCAAGTTCTCTCCAAACAAGATTATGACACAAAGCCAGAGAGTTGATATACCCCTGAGGTAGGACAGCAAAGATATATTGCTGGCTTTGTCAGCTGAAGGCGAATTGCTTCTGGTGGGCCTTATGGACAGGCATGGAGAAAAAGTCATTTGCCAAATCAATGGCTGCATACCAGGTACCAGGAGATGTGTTAATTTGCTCAAGCAATGAAACCACATCTTGAACAATACTTTGCATCCTTCAGTCAAGTTGACACTCAATATTAATCATCACATACCCCCTTGTCCATACCTGTGTGTGTCTATAGGAACATTCCGGAACGCAGCGGCTTTGGTAAAGCCTGATCCCTGGGTCATAGCCCAGCTTAATGGCATGATGACTGCAGTTAATTAACCCATCCATTTAAGAGACAGAAGCAAGAAGCACATTTCTGAGCTCCAGACAGTTTTGAGCATCAGAATAGTTTTAGAGAAAGTAAGATATTTTGAAATTATACAGTGATCTCTATTAAAGTGATAACAGCTGGTACCAACTTCGCAAATCATGGAATTTTTTAAGAAAGATCAACCGCACACTTGTGAAACCCCGCCAGACTAATATCATCAGGGATTATAGGAGAAGCACTTACTACTGTCAAGTCAACACATAGCCTAGTTGACCTTTTATAAATGGATGAAAATAAGTTCAGCAAACCCCAGCAAGATATATTGAAAGATAGGCTGGAGGTGAATGGTAGGAGGTCTGAGCAATTTCACTAACCCAGCCAATCAGCAGTAATTGGTAAAGTGCCTTCTCCCCTGAGAGCCTGGGGAGATGTGTGGCTGCCGATTGGTGAGCTGGTGATTGCTTGGAGGGTTTTTATCGACTCTCTTTGCTGCTTTTTGGGTGTATTTCTCCCACGAGCTTTAACAATAATGCCCATGAATCTGAACCTCCTGACTGGTAAATGTTCTCTGGCCTTGACAATAAGTGTTTCAGCTTTGCTTCAATGTTTGTTTTCTGCCAGTGCTGTGGCCTGGATGCCCTGCAGTATCTATCTTGCAGCCTGAGGCCATTATTGGGCAGCACGTTGCCATTTTCTCCAGCATTATTTCTTTTAAATATTTCTCACTGAAAATGAGTCACTTTGAGATGATTACACCATAGTCATCTGTGGGATCCATAAGCAGTTTTGTCAGTGTGTGTCTAATTTTGGTCTCCCGTTCTTTGTCCTATGTAAGGCACATCTAGAGGGCCCATCTTTCTCTGGTATTTGGATACAATTCTTTAACCAGTGATTTTACTTTTTCCTCTGCTCACTCCCAGCCAAAAATCATCATTTACTTAGATCCCATGGTATGAAACATGTTTCACAATTGTGAACCTAAGCTTGGTACTTTAACTGAGCACACATCTCACAGAAATCCCGGAGTGGCCTCCCAGGAGACTGAAATCTAAGGGCAACAGGATCAAGCCCTCACAATGAAATGGGACGCAGGCTGGCCCATCTTTCTCTGTGGCTAAGTAATGAGGCTTGTTATTTACAGTGCCCTGTTTACTTGCTGACTCTGTTAGCGTTTTTCTTTTCAATTTGGATCTCGGCCCACATGGTAACCCTCTCACGAGGCACGTGCCATTTTGATTTTAAAATAATAGGAAGAATGCTCCAGCGCTGCTTGTTGGTGCTACGACTCTCAAACTGTCTATAGATTGCCAAGTAAGTGGAATGTTTTGACAGAGAGAAATATGTGTTGTCAACATTGCTTTATCCATGGTTGAGAAGAAAAATTGAAACGACTTCGGCAGGGTTCAGACGTTGATGACTGGAATGATCTCCTTGAAACAAATGACTACAGACCATTTTGTTTTCCTTTACGCCTCATTCTACTCTAATGAAATGCCCAATTAAAAGCATAGCTTATGTGCTTAAAAGAAAAAGCTTAGAAAGGATTCTTGGATGGAGCTGTGCCCGCAGTAATCCTTCACCACAGGAGAAAATCATAGTATCTTTGTAAAGAAACAATATCATGTTGTGACTTCCAGTGGCCTGCATGGCAGTTTTAGAGGAGACCCAAAATGAATGTAACCTTTTTAAGATAGAAAGGTTGTGTGTGTATTTCTGTGTGTGCCTGTGTGTGTGTGTGTGTGTGTGTGTGTGTGTGTGTCAGACAGACAGAGAGAAACATGATTTATTTGTGATATATCAAATGGCAGACACTGGTTGGAAATAGAAAAGAAAAAAGAGTTCCCAGTAGAGTGATACATTTAGGACAACTTGTGAATTTGTCTCTGGGATTAAGCGGAGTATGGAACTATGCAGCTGTGTGTTGTCTCCTAGCAAAATGAGGTTCCCTCTGTTTCTCTGGCAGGCAAGTTCCTATCGAAAGCTTATTGGGAGTGGGAACTCAGACAGCTTGCAGAGCCCTGCTGACCATTATCTTCACGTTCAGGTCTGCGTTGTGGGAGCTACTCTCTATTTTCTTGCTTAGTGAACACTCTTGACAAAAGAAAATGTTGACAGCTTTGCCTTTCTTGAGAATCACTAAGGAAACATTTCATCTTGTCAATCTCCTTTCATGTGCTGTGCAGGAGAAGAGAAAGGGAATATTGCTTTGGAGCATAGCCTTGACTTTCAACATGCATTTAACAATTAATATTTTCTTGAGCACCTACTATGTGCTAGAGTATTTGCTAGTCATTACCAGTCAGACAAAGATGAATGGAGCTAAGTCCCTATTCTTAGAGAGCTTAGCACATTCTCATTTTAAAATCAGTTGCCTCATTAGAAGGGCTATAAAAGGGATGCAGATAAAGTAATAAGGGAATTTGTATCATTTGGACTTCCTCACGTGACCCACTCCATGGCTTCTGGAACTAGGCAGATCTGAGTTTGAACATTATTACCCATGACATTGGCTGGCACAGTGTATTTTAAGCTATGTCTCCATTTCTGTCAGTTTTTAAATGAGGATAGTGACACCTACCTTGCAGGGCTGTTGGGATGAGTAAATGAGATACTGTGTGTACAGTGTAAAGCAGTGCTTGGCACAGGTGAGTCCACCTGGAATGGCAGCTTCCTTCCTACCTCCTTTATGCCACGCTGCATCCCCTGTCAGTCATACAGATGCCTCTCACAAACCTGCCTGCACCTTACAAGTGAACCACAAGCATTAAGATGGCTTCTTGAGGCTGGGTGTGGTGGCTTCCGCCTGTAATCCTAGCACTTTGGGAGGCCAAGGTGGGTGGATCACTCGAGCCTAGGAGTCCAAGAATAGCCTGGGCAATATGGCAAAATCTCAGCTCAACCAAAAAAAAAAAAAAAAAAAAAATTAGCCAGGCGTATTGGTGTGTACCTGTAGTCCCAGGTACCTCGAGGCTGAGGCAGCAGAATTGCTTGAGACTGGGAGGCGGAGGTTGCAGTGAGCCCAGATGAAAACACTGCTCTCCAGCCTGGGTAAAAAAATAAATAAATAAAAATAAAAATAAATGGCTTCTTCAACTGTGTTGTAGCTCTGGCATGTAAAGAAATCTAACACATGGTAGTGACCATATAATAGTGAGGATGTTTTTTAAAACTAATTTTCCAAAATTTACATGCAAATGATTCTTGGCCTCTTTAAGGAATGATAATACATGGGAGGCGTTAGTCAGAGGCTACCCACCAATATTCTGGCCTTTCTCCTGCCAAAAACCTGGCACGGTTCTACTCCTCCAACACTGTGGAAGTTGGGTATGCCATGTGACTTTATTTAACTAATGGAATGTGAGCAGACGTGACTTGTGTCACTCCCAGGAGAAAGCTTTAAAAGATCCACTTACACTGCCACCACCATCATGGAAGCAAATGTTGAGATGGGGCTTGTGTCAGCCTAGACCTGTGCGATATCACAAGGAGTAGAGTCCTTGTGATAATCCATGTGAAAAATACAGCAGGGGTGAGAAATTGATTTTTTTTTTTTTTGCATTGTATCACTGAGATTTTGCAGTCTTTTGTTCATGGTCTGCCTAGATTAACATAGGAGATTATACACCTATTTCAACAATTCTGTTTTTGCTTAAAACATTGAAGTGATTCTTCTGGTGGTATTGCTGTCAGGGGCAGCATTTGACAACCACACTCTCAGTGTAAAGCCATACTTGCTTTCTGCCCTATAGTAGTATTGCCAGGCTTGACCCTCTGTTTTATTCATTAGATTTGACTCTGCATCTGGTGAAAAGAATAGATTGGACATCATTGAGCCTATTGGGATGAATACACCCTTCAGAAACAGTGGCAGGCAGAGGCTGGGCAGCGGGGGATATGAAGGCAGTTTACCCAGGGTGCAGGCAATAAGAAGATATATTGTCTATAGAAATGTTTAAAGAAATAGAACTGATTAAGATACAGTGTCTTTTGTATTACCATCACAAGTCTATAATTCTAAACAATTTTAGGGAGAAAATACTCCTCCCTTCCCCACTCCTGTTTTCCCCCCTCCTTGCGCAACTACTCAGAAAGCAGTTACAATGAGATTCAAAACTTGAAAAACAGAACTGTGAATTAGAATGTGTTGCCTTATTATGGCAAGTGTTTTGAAATAGATAGCTTTCACGTGGAATATTTATTTAAAAGAAAAAATAAAAATTATTCTATTTTAGGGTTGTTCTTGGTACATTAATTTGGACATTGGCTTAGGAATTTGTAGCTAGTCATATGAACGTTTATGTAAATCTTTCTGTCTAAATTGTTATATCCGTGAGGGCGGGGCTGGGCCTCATTCATCCTTAGGTGTTCATGGGGTCTGGCCAGTACTGTAGTCCGGTACACATAATTGCCCCCCATATATATATATATGAGTCTATATATATATATATATATATATATATATATAGTATATATATATATATATATATATACTATATATATATATATATATATATATATATATAGACTCAAACTAGGCTGGCAGTGAAATGATATTTTTCTTTTGCTTTTTTTTCAGTTATGTGTATGAGAAGCAGGGCGATATCTCCGGCCCACTTCTTTGACAGGTTCTCTTGTTGCTGATGCTGAGAAACTCCAGGAGCCTGCTATTTGTAGAGAGAAGTGTGTTCCAGCTGCTGGTGCTAACAAAGATCTGAGGTTATACACACATGACCTATCACCCACACCCACCCGATTGGGAGGGGTTGCCTCTCCCTGTGTCCACACATATGCCTTGAGTTGCTCTTCAGTGAATATCACTTTTCCTTTCATGTTTTTTCTACATGCTATTATCTGTATGAAATGAAGACCAAGAAAGGATGGGAAGAAGGAGAAGAAAAATTTTGATTTATCTCAGAAACTATACTCCGAAGTGAGAGTCCTGGTTGCAGGTAGGATTTTGTTGGTGATCATTAGAGGGATGAGGGCTGAGAGAACAATTTGAATGTTGCCTATTTCTCCAGGCTGGGGTGGGAGTGGGAAATATGAAGGCAATTTGCCCAGGGTGCAGGCAATAAGAAGATATATTACTTATAGAAATATGAATGAATATAACACTTATAAAGATTATATAGTTGGGATTGGCCCACAGTAGTTGATAATAACGAGAAGTTCTTGGAGACCAGATCATAGTGAACTTGGCCTTAGGGAAATAATTATCGTCTTGAACTCTGATTGTTTTATGGGTAAGTTATGGCATTGAGAGGTGTGTGAGGGGATGCTTAGGCCAGAAGGAGTCTTTTTACCATTTTGAATGTCCACCTTAATGTTTCCTGGGTGAAGTTCCAAGATTTGCAGGGAGCATGCACAGCCTCTGGCCTGTATGGAGTCCATCCCATCTTCCAAGGGTACTTGTAGATGGAGATTAGTCTTGGGTAGGCCATCTTGTGAATTGGAGCCAGTGTTCAGTGCTGGACAGATGTCAACTGGAACTTTCAGATATAGCCCAAGTTCTGGGACTATGAGAAGCCAAACAACCCAGGAATTTTCCTTTGTACTATTTTCCAGAAAAGGGTAGAGTCATTTTTGAGCTCCTGGGGTAAGATGGTAGAATGCAGAGAAACTAGAAAGTATCTACATTTCTCTATTGCAAGCTCTGTACATCTAGATTTGACAGTAAGAATTTGGTTGACTGATATGTAAGTGCTTTTGCACTTACAGACTCGACATGAGATTCAAATGAAAGGGACACAAATGTTTGGTTTTGCTTTTACTCCTTGAGAATAAATCCTGGACTTTACAAATATCCTTTCTAGAAAGAACAACTGAGTGAGAAACCCTAAACTGATACTGAATAAAGCAAGTATGTCTCACAGAATATCTGATTTAAAAAAAAAATTCCTGCTTTAGGAAATGTGTGTGTGTGTATATATATATATATACACACACATATACATATCTATACATATATGTATACACACACAATCATACATATATAGATTATATATGTATCTATATATATTTCTTGGATGTCTTATATTAAGCTTTGGTAGATAAGTGGACTTAGGGACCATAATTACCACCATTTTCCTTATAGAAAGTCTTTGAGTAACTTAGACTATGATCTCTTTTGTTTTTGTCCATTTGCCATTTGTTATTCAGACAATACAACCCCAAGCATGACCTTGGGCACGTTACTTAACAGTTTTAAGCCTGTCATCTATAAAAAGTCAGGGTTGGACCCAGTGACTTCTGAGGTCCCCACTTGCACCAGCAGTCTCTGATTTGGTTGCATGGGGAGACAGCTGTCACAGTTGAAGCCATGTGTGCCTCTCCCACATCACTCCTTTTCTAGAGCTTGCATTTTCCTTAGTGCCTGAGAAATACCGTTTTATAGATGCATGCCTTAGAACGGTATTTTCTCTTTTCATTGTAAAGGAAGGTTTTAGACTTTGCAACAAACGTTCTGGATAGAATGGACAATTAAAAACATGATTGAAACATGATTTTTAGGTATCCACATTATTTCACAAGCTCATTCCTTTCATCTCTACTTTGTCAAGGATTTAGGCAGCTTGTTTCTTTGACTTTCATCACATATCTTTTTTCCTTCCTGTTCAAAATAAGCTCTGTTTCCTTTTTCCTGGCTAGATGAAAGCCTGTGGACTCTGTGCTTCCTGATATCAACCCAACAGTGGTGGTAGAGGGGTTCACATCACTCCAGATAGTCAGTTTCAAAGAATAATAGTTTGGAGACTGTGGGATGAAAAACCAGCTTGAGTTTTCCTCTTCAGATCTCTCCAATACACACTGTCTATGTATTATTTCAGAACACCCATTCAAAAGTAGACTGTTTCCTTCCCTGACTTGGCACCAAATCAAGAAGTGGCATATAATGTATTGTTGTGTTTATTATGCATCATTTTGCTGCTGACACTGTGGCCATCAAATATTGGAAGATTTACAACCACAGAGGTCCAGCCATCATGCCTGAAGTGAAGGACAAAGTACTCTGTTATTCATCTTCAGCTCTGGCCCTTTATGATCAGACAGTGAGCTATATACTTATCAAAGTCAAAATAACCTTCACTTTAGAAAACATAGTTGTCCTTAATTGCCAGAATAGGAATGCATAAACAGCCTCTCTCTTGATAATGGAATGGAGGCTGAATTGATGTAAGTTTTAAGTATTTTGTAATTTTCCAATTGTGGTGCGCTCAATTAAGTTTTAATTCACAAATTATGCATGTATTATACTGGCAAAGAGAAAAAATATTTGTAGTTTTAAACTATACTATCTAAATATGTTATACACATTTGTGCCATGTTTTTGTTTTTTTTTTTCCTCTGAATCAAAGCTATGGCTGGTAGTCCTATTTCTATGCCCTGGTATATAGCAGTTTAGAGCTTGGATGCTGAAACTGGAAAGATGTAAGTTTGAATCCTTGGCTATCCCTGGAACACAGGCAAATGCCTTAGTTTATTCCTCTGTAAAAAATAGTAATAATCATAATAGTACCTACCTTCTAGACAGGAGTATTAAGAATTAAGTGAGATTGTGTATGTTGAAAGATGCTTAGCTCAGTGCCTGGTACATTATGAAAACTCAAGGAATATTTGCCATGATTGTTATTACTCCTTTCTTTCTATTATTGTTAAAAACAGCAGTCCAGAGAAAACATGTATTTCCAAGACCTTCATATCAAAGAGGCAGGAATGAAATGTTACTAGCATTTTATAAATATATACGTATGTTATGGTACTAGGTGGCTTTTGGGAGACATGTAGTTATAAGAGTGAGACAGAGATGACTCAGAAACCAGAAGGCAGCAATGAAAATAGTTCTTACTTGAAAAGGCATTTGTTTAATATGCTTACTCAAGATATATCTTACATAAGATATAAGATATATCTTAGAATTAGTTAAATCTATATAGTGGCTATATGAGCATTTAAAGTTACAGATGTTTATTTGGAAATAAGCAAGTTTTAATATGTGAATAGTAACCCCATGTCTACAAGTTGCAGTGTGGCCAAATGTAAATGGCAGAACAAATTTAGGAAATGAGCTCTAACTCTATTTTGGGAAAGACAAGGGGAATCTCTGGAATTTGGTCTTTGTTCCTAGCTAAGACCTGGAGGTGATTTTAATTGACAAGTATCTTCTGAGCAGTAAAATCAGGATGACAGCATTTGCTTTCCTGGGTGGTAAAAAATCCTCTCTAATAATGGTGGGTGAGTTGCTGGTGAATGAAGAAATGGGCTTGAGAAATGCTGGGAAATAAAATGACTGGCAACTTTAGTTTCAGAGCAATAGGCCTGTGAGTTTTCTTCATTGTTATTTTTGCTGTTCTTTCTGGTGTCATTGTAAAATTAAGTATAGACAAATGAACTGTTAATGGTCTAGAATTTCAGACCAATAGTCTGCCCAGAAACCACAAGACAAGCAATAGGGGACTCTATTTGATATGAAAATTACAGTAGGATTATTTTTATCTCTTCCTTTCCCCTCTTTCTTCTTTACCTCTTTAATAACGACAGGTAAAACTGACACCAAAAAACAAAAGTCTTACCCAAATCCATTGTAAAGTTCCCATTCAGGTGTGTATTACATAAAAATTGCTTAGCTTTCACAAGAACCACCCTTCTGAGAAGAAGAACCATGATGCATATTAATAGGTGAAGAGAGCTTCCTTGGGAAGGACCATAAACCTTGGAGGCCATAAACTCTGGAATTGGATTCCAGAATGAAAGAGCTATGAAAGCCCAGAGGGCAGGCTAAGTATGTGTTGGGACAAGTAAATAAAATGTTTTGTCCTGAATTGCAAAGTACAGTCAATTAATTGTCTACTGGGCTCTGCCACCTCCACCCCTGTTTCCTTCTTGTAGCCTACTTGTTGCTTTCTGAGTATGACCCTGTAATTAATGAAGACTATAAAATTTAATGAAATGGGGTAAAATTTTGGCTGGATAATTTTTTTTTAGTTTCATTATAAATTTTAAAGGGATGTCCTTGGCCAGTGTTTTGAACTGAACAAGAAACTGTCATCAAATTAATGTGTTCACCTTCAGAGGTGCGGCTCTCTCCAGAAGGTCATGCCTTGTGGACATAGCTGTCTTGTGGGGCTGTAGGTGAAGCCCCACTCTGGCTTTTTCTACGTATACCCAAGAAGCCTAGAAGCAGTTGAGAATCAGCAATATGAAAGTCAGCTTTCCAAATGGCCTCCCTCTTTCCTGACATTGCAATCTTAAAATGCCTTTGTCTTTCACAATCTTCATAAGGTCACAAAGGAGTGTTTGTTACCAGATTTATAGCTCTGATATGTTCACATACACACTGGGTCCCCACTAGAGGTTCTGCCAAGCTCTGGGGGCCCCACATAGGCCTCCCACAGTTCAGTCGCCGCACACATGTTTTCTGAGAGAACTCGGAGCTGCTGTCTATGTGCTCATTTTCAGTCTATAAATCCTCCGCACTTCTGTGACTGTTTGCTAGGCCTCCAGCCAGTACTATATTGTATGTGTGAATGCCACATTTCCCTAGAGAGCTGAGCAATCCTGCCTGGTTGGTGTGGACAAACCCCCAGGTGCTGAATGGGGATGGGCTTTAGCTTGTACAATGCTTTCCTTTGACCAGTGTTCCAGGGAAGAGGCCAGGCTCTTTGTGTACAGATGCATTGAACTGCCCCAACAGTGGGTATATGAACGTTCTGCTTTACCTGCAGAAGAGGGTGATGTGTTTAATTTGCTTAGGGTTTAATTAAGCTGCAGACACTTAAAAAAATTCGTTAGAATGACTGGGCTTCCCACGGTTGGCAGTAACACCGTGAAGTCATTTTCTCTAGAAAGTCAAGGCGTTGCTTTAATAAAGAGTTGACAGTTTTGGATGAGTCCTTGGAGACAGAAGAGAGAAAGGCCACATATTAGTTTTAGTCACATGACTCATTTTTCCACTGAGATTTTAACAATTAGTAAGCTCTTCACATTTAATATTCTGAAAGCAGAACAAGCCAGTAGGGAACTTGGGGTTGAAGGGGAAGAAATAGACCATGCCAATTTGTCCCATCATCAATGTAGGACACGAAAGTTAGTGAAGTAGAGGTGAGGGGTGCTAATCAAGGGGAAAATGAGGCATCCCTGCTTTGAATTCCTCACTTAGACATAGAGATGGTACCTGTACAAGCTCAGGAGGGCAAAAGGAGGGCGGAAGGGAAAAGGGTCTCCAGGATAGATCCTGGACCTATAAATAGAGCTTATTACTCTTGAGTAAAACAATAGAGCTCCCCTCCTACTTCATTCAACAAGTCCTTATAGATTTCTTGCTCTATGACAGAGATTGTGTCCTGGAGATCCTGGCTGGTCATTTTCAGTCACGTCTGCGTCTTTATTAAATGTTTCCATCGGTCCACATGTGCTAGGTGCTCCAAGAGAGTTAACTGGAGCCAGCAGTGGCCTCCCTGAATTTTGCAGAAAAGACGAGATGGATATACTTCTATTTCAGTGTTCAGTGTTTAGAAATGAGCAGTCTTGCATTGTTATGCAAATTCCAAGGTAATAGAATGTTTACAAATTACAATAGCTGCAATTACAGGAAAATTTTTTGGCACTTATTTATGTTATTGTGTTCACTGAAGATTATAGCTTGTTACTTTCTGTTCTAATATACTTTACCCACTTAAGTCTTGAAATAGAAACGAAATGCTGGTGTATCATTTTGCAAGAAAGATATATATGTTTCTTATATTGCATTAGACAGGTTAATATGTTTTTGCATTTTATAACAGGGAACTTTATTAGCATGATGAAATTAATGCATGCAGGGCAATATCTTCCGAACTAGTTGTTACCAGTAGATAAAGTCTGATGTGGTAATTGCTAACTGAATGTTGGATCAGGGTTATTACTGAAGTAAAATCATTCACTGTGGGATGATCAGAGCTACAATATTGTGAATGACAAAAGAGCCATAGCCACTCTCTGGTTTTAATTAGCTAAAGAGGTGTCCTGGGTGGTTTTGAAAGGCTTGTCTTATCAATATTGTTACTTAGAAATGATTTACAATATTCTTACACGGTCTGCTAATGTTTCTATCATTAAAGGTCTATCATTTCCATTATGAACTCTGTTGCTGAAGGCTTTGCAGGCATGGCTTAAATATTTATTTCAATACCGTATGTGTGTTTGTGTGTGTGTGTGTGTGTGTTGTGTTTGTGTTTGTGTGTCTGTTTACAACATTTTCTAAGGTCTTGAAATTCCAGGAGTGGCTGTTTATGGATGTACCATTATTGATCTTATTTATTCATATGACAGTGCCCAGCTTCAGTCCCATGAAGAGATATAAGCCTAATTTTTTCAGAGGAAATGACTTCTCTGCTTTATCCATTGATTTTTTAAAAAATGTTTGAAAGTGAGTTTTGATTACCTGAAAATCTGCATGAGCAGATCTGATGTAATATACCTTCTGCCATTTAATTATTTGGTTTGTTCTAACAGTAATGCTTCAAATGTTAATAAAATTTCCAGAAATGTTTATCATCTGAGGTGGTCCTAAGTGAAATGTTCATATTTTCAATTCCTGAATAAATACAAACGGAAACATTTTTGAAGGAAAAAAACGTTCTTTCAGAGGTTACTGCTTACATTACAATGACTACATGCCTGAGAAACCTGTTTGCCAAGTAATATAATCATGTTTCCTGGTCCCTGCATTTACACCATTACATCGTTTCCCAGGTGCAACTGAAGGACTATGGCTATGGTAGCTGCCCAGGAAGACTGGCCATCCGATTCATGCTTGTGCAGTCCTTGGACTTTTAGATCTACCAGGTACCCACACCTCACAAAGGTCTTTTTCTAGGGAAGTGATAAACTTTCACAGAAGTTTTGTTTTGAATCTGAAGGGACCATACGAATTACCTATTCTTATTTATGGCACACAAATGAGAAAAATGAGACCAAAAGAGGTTTAGTGTTTGTCTAGAGACAAGTATCTAGTTATTCAAAAGACCATGAATCAGAATGCAGCCTTGCCTTGCAGTATTTCTTTGTGATAACTGCTTGCCTTGCCTTGTTATTGCATAGATGGGAAGGTTTCTAGTGGTTTTCAGAGCTCTGAAGGCCATCAGAGATTCTTTTGCTCTGTTGCTAGCTTTCCTTGATACTGACATAGTGTTACCGTAAAATCTCTTGTTTTTCTTCCTGGTTCTCAGGTAGAACCCTCTCCCAGAAAAGGAATCTTATTGGCAGTATATTGAATTTTAATGTGTATATTTTCATATAAATTTTTTTTTCACATTTGGAGAAGCAATAGAACATGACTCATTTATTTTTCTTAAAATAGATACTGTGTTAAAATGATTCTATGAAAAAATCTGAAAGAATACATATGAGGGAATATATACCATATTTAGAACTATAGCGGTGAGCTAATTTCCAGTTAACAGAAGATATGAAACCAAATTTTCATTTCGAAACAAGTTAACTCTAATTACTAAACTCAAAATTTATTTTCATAAGAGATTTAAAACACCTGAGTAAGAAATACTTTTATTCTTTTTAAATATATTTATGCTTCTAAATGTCAGCTATTGCAAAATATGCCTTCCCATTAAATCTCTTATTTACAGTTACTAGAAGTCACACATGTTTCAGACCAGTCACAAGAAAGTTTTTGAAGAAGCGTCACTCAAAGGTTTTTTATCAGTTGTAATAGGGACAGATATAGCATGTGTATGAGTGTAATGCTAGCTTCTGTAAAAACACTTAATGTGCATAGTGGTCCAAAGATTATAGAAATGTATTCCTCATTCAATAAAGTCCAAAATAGATATCCTTGGCTTATGACTAGCCTTCTTCCAAGTAGTGAGTCAGAAAACCTAGTCTTTTTCCATCTTGCAGTTCTGTCATCTTCAATATGTGGCTTCCCATGTCTGTGTGCACACTCTGTGGAAAGAGTGGTTGGAGAAGTCACATTGACTCCTCAACCACATTGGGCCCATTGCCTCACACACATCCCATTGGCAAGAATGAGTCACAGGGTCCCACAGGGACTCAGGAATGTCAGTTTTGGCTGGGCAGCTGCTACTCATTAACAACTCTGTATTTTGGAAGGGGGAGAAACGATTTGGCAGAGTCAGTTTCCTCTGCCGTAATAACTCACCCACAATCGACACTCAAGACACATGATAGTTAAAGACTAGTATTAGAAATGAAGGTTTGGATAACTTCGTTCCGAAAGTGCAGACATCCGCATTCATTCATATGACAGGTTTTGGCAATGGCTAAGAGTGGATTGACTCAGATGGACAGCCTAGGCAGTCTAATTGTGTAGTGTCCGTTCAAACTGATCATCTTTAAATATTTGTTTAATAACTACTTAGCATGGGTGATGAAAATTGTTTACTTTTAAAAATGTACACTTATTTATGTTCAAAATATGAGCCTTACTATATATAATATCCACAGTAGATAGCCTGCTGGAAGACTTATATATGATACATATAAATTTGATGGCATATATTGAAGTATATTTATTGTATACATACTTACTTTTATATATTTCTATAATAAAGTAAATTAAATAATTAACTCAGTCCAAGGTCAAAATTCCACACCTCCATTATTCAGTTATGGAATTTGAGCAGGTTGTGACTGCCAGTTTACTTGACTCTCAGTGGGATGAACTGTCAGCCTTCAGGGATGGTGGCTTTCTGCAGGAAGGTACAATTTACATCACAGAAACCTCAGAGATAATGGGCCCAAAGGAGCTGAGAAAAGATTTTCTTGCCACTTAAAGGCACTATCAATTTGAGTGCAAGCATTTTCATTCCAATTTAGTAGTTACTATAAAAAGATGTTGGAAATCCAAAAATAACTTGTACCATAGTTCCATTTCATCCCAATGACATGTTAGCATCAAGATTGCCCACCAGGTATTCCAGTTTGGAACTTCGTCACTCTTTGCCAAATTATTCCATAGGTTTGCAACTTGACAGGATTCACTAATGGCTTCTGGAGAGGTATATTACTTCTAGTACTTACAGAACTAATCAATGCCTGAAAGAACTATGAATCTGTCTCTACGTAGCAAAGTGATGCCTGGAAGATGTTTTGATGTCACAGTTCTCTTGAGGTCATAGGGTGCCTAAAGTTGTATTATGTTGGCTGTTTACATTCTGTAAAGCAATGCTCCTTAACTGTGGTGGTACGTTGGAGGACCTTGTATAAAGAACTGATGCCCACCCCTCTTCCTGCCCCAGTGGCTCTGATTATCCTGAGATGAGACCTGGACATTGATAGTTTTGTTTGTTTGTTTGTTTTTTAGTTATCTTCTTTTAAAAAATTCCCCAGGAAATTCAGCAGAGATTGAGCATCCCTGACCCACAGTGATGGCTTCTCGTACTATTGTTTAATGGAAGGAGATCCTTTTAGCAGAAATCACTCATGATTTAGCAGTCTAGGAGCCATCATGAGGAAAGAGTTGGAGTGGATGGTTTTAATGCAGATGGTCTCAATATGATGGCTAAGAGTATCTCTCAGATGTTCTGCTCTCACCCCTGGGGACTAACTCTAACATCATAGTTTATGTTCAGCCTGACACCAGGGAACATATGAAAAGCAAATACACTCCAGCACTCCAGCAATGTATATATTACCCCAAAATATGAGATATTAGTTATTTCTCTTTAACCAATACGATTTAACTTATATTGAGTGGCCTCTGCTTATAAGTGAATGCTTCATCATTTAATCATTCATTGATTCAAAATATTTATTTATCCTTTTGTGTATCAGGCACCAGAACAGTCCTATAAGCCAACACATCAGTGTCTTTATAACCAAAATTTACTGTGGAAACAGGCAAATCATTTTTGTAGAGTTATTGTTTGTACCTCAACATCTTTGAGACAAATGCTTTAAAGCATATTTTTGGATGGATTTTTTAACAAAGGAAGTCTGCCAGTTTTAACTTTTTGGGACGGAATGTATTTATGAATACTGGCTGTAGTTATTCTAGAGTTTCTATTATAATTACAAAATTCTGCAGTGGTTCTTAACCCTTTGTACTTATGACACACAACTTCCAAATCAGAAATTTCTGGCTCTATACATGAAGGCAATAAAAGATGAACAATGGATAAAAAATCAGTACAGAATTATTTATAATAGAGAAAATTAATGAAGCAAACCTACCCTCAGAAGGGGGTTACTTAAAAGGTATGGTACATCCATATGACAGAATACTACAGAATGGATTAAAGCTTTTTAAAAGGAAATGGAAAAATGCTCATAATATATCACTTCAGAAAAAGCTGAATGTAAAACAATAGCAGTAGTATGATGCTTTTTAAAATGCATATATATTCACATTGATTGTTTTTCTCCATCCCTGGGCACTTCAGGGTGGTAGCACAGTAAAGGAAAGCAATAGATTGCCTCAGTTGTCCTGAATGCTTACCCAGGCACAGGGAGTCTGAGTATCTGCTTTTCTCAGACCTGAGTTTCCAATTTCTGGTGATTTCTTCCAAATATAATGCTGGAATATCCTGGGCAAAACAACATGGATGTGTAACTAAAAGATGTACCACCTGGCAATGACTCAAACCAAAGTGATGATGGGTCACCAGCTATTTTGCTTAGAAGTCATTTCCACTTACCACATCATTCCAGGTGGCACCAACCCCAGTGAAATCCCACAATAACTTTTTCCCAGGGGAAACTCACTAGACCATATATACTCCCATTCCTTATTAGTGTTTTTCTCATTTGTGGTTGGTTTTTCTCTTATTTAATATAAGGTGGTGGTTCTCAGAATAGAGCTCCCTGGACCTGTAGCATCAGCATCACTTGTGAATTTTAACATTTAAAAATTTTTACTAGTTAGTAATGAGGTCTTTCTTTCCTTTTGAATTCTCCTAATACTGTTTTCACTCAAAAATGTATAGGATTATGATAGCTAGAATGTACATAGCTCTTAATTTATGTTGGACACTTCTCTAAGTGCCTTCCAAATTTTAACTTATTTAATCTTCATAATCACCATATGAAATAGGAACTACTATTTCCCTATTTTACAGAAAAGGAAAATTGAACACCAGGAAGATGAGTAACTCATCCAAGGTCATACAACTATAAACATGCTCATAGGAGAAATACTGGAAGCAAATATAAAATATTAGCAGTGATTATATCTGGTTATTTCCAGGTATAGGACCACAGATGGCTTTACATTTTTTTATGTGCTTTTCTATATTTTCCAAAAAAAGATACATATTACAGTTGTTGTCAGAAAAACATCCAAAATGTTATTGAAAAGAACTATGACAGACATTTCAGAGAAGACCAGGAGTAAGGGCGTACCAGAACAGAAGAATAAAGAGCTGTAGTTGAAAAAACTTCTTCCTCATGACTGGATTCTGGAAACTACTGAGCAACTGAGGAAATGAAGAGCCCCAGGCGTGGGTGCAGGGAGCATCCAAACTGGAAATCCAGGGAGGGCATGACATTGAGCAGTCTGATCTTTCTAATGTCTTAACAGGTTTTACAACTTATTATCTTTGTAGGTAGCTGTGGATAAGTGCATTTTATCACAATATTTCCAGGAGACATTTGATAGAACAGAACCCAGCTCTCTGTATCCAGGGTATAAAAAGCTTGGCCATAAAATAATGCCCTGACTCATCTTTAATTAGGTGTGCAGTGTAGGAAAGAAATTAGTGTCTTCCTGTGTATGGGAGGTATGGAGAAACAGCTATAAGTTTTCAAAATAGTCCATTATTAACAATCTGCACTGAATCGATTGGTACCCACAGCTCAGTCAGTGCTTAAACAAGCTGGACAATAGCTGAAGTAATTATTTGGGGTACATTATTGCCATTGTAAAATGTAATCAATGTTTTATTTCAACAAAAAGAGATCTTTTTCTTGATTTCTCTTTTCACCCCACCTTTCCTCAGCTTTATCTCCTTGCCAGAGGTCTGGCAGAAAGATTTTTTTGTTTTCTCTCCCATATTGGCAAGAGTGCTTCAGCCCCATCTGAACATAGCAAGACAGGACACATCTTGTAAAGGTTTTCCATTTTAATATTCCTTAATGACCAATAATGAATTCTTTATAGTTAATCTGCTGTTCTCATGAAAACAATTTAGACGGTTAAAAAAATCAATCATTAATGAGCAGTAAATGACAGCTCCCCAACAACACAGCTGTATTTTTGTAAAAGTGATTAAACATTGTCTGCATTCATAATTGCATGCTTAATAAGAATGTTGAGCACTGAGTCAAGCATTGTTGCTAATGATGACAGATTACGATGCTACAAATGCTTTGGAGTTATGGGGCTAAATTTTCAAAGGCAGTCCCTGGAACAGAATGCACACAGACCCACTAAGTATTCAATTTGCATGGGCCATTACCAGGTTTGTGCATGGCATTTGGGAGCTTTGCAGTTGAGACTCTTTTGAAAATCTGGCCCATTATGACAGAAAGCATCTGTAATTAACAGTAACTGATCTCCCTCTGCCCAGCCTTGGTAAAAGGTATAAAATGCTCTGTGTGTGGTTTCTTGGAGCCCAACACCCCTTTGATGAAAAGCCCTGAAGCCTGAAAGGAAGGCAAAAAGAGTCCGTAGGGGCTTAATTCAGCCTTACAGGCAGATGTGTAAATCTTATCAGCAGGTAAGAGAAAGCAGGCAAGTCATACAGAAGAGGACTTGGTGAAGTCTCATCTCTGAGCTCCTTTCACATATTACTTGCCCCTCTCATTTTGGCTATAAATTTGCTTGCTAAACCTTGGAATTCCTGTATTATTATTCATAGGATTCATAGGACTAACTAAAATCTGAGATTGTCCCATGGCCCAGTGTGGATTGTTAACTGTGCTGAGGTATGAATTTCAATCTTTAGGAAGCTATGAGTAGTGTGAGTCACTCAGTGATTGAGCAAGCTCCATCTGCTGCTCAGTTTGTCTGTACTCTGATCAGGTATGAGGCAATTCCATCTATGA
The DNA here is from genome assembly GCF_000001405.40 of Homo sapiens. Taxonomy (NCBI): domain Eukaryota; kingdom Metazoa; phylum Chordata; class Mammalia; order Primates; family Hominidae; genus Homo; species Homo sapiens. The sequence continues at coordinate 118,548,869 of NC_000005.10, read as the reverse complement.
AGCTATGCATAGCTACAATTTCTGAGAAAAATTGCATGCTTTTAGAAAATTTATGAATTTCCTCAAATTTTTTCTTGGAAATATCTTGTATCTGTCTGGGATGTTGAGGATCTGTTGTACTGTTTGATGATATTATATCTTGTGCTGTTATTTATTGCAGTTTATATAGATATCTTATTTTGGTGATACCTTAGCTTAGAGAACAGGGATCATTTGTATTATGCCTTTGACTTCTTCATAGCATCTCACTCACTGCTGTTTTTTCTGGATCAGCCATCCCTTGTCTGAGCAGAGGATTATAGAGTCTCATAGTCTGCAAATCAGACTGGCATATGGTTAAGAACATGGTTTTAAGATGCCTCGTTTGAAATACCACTCTGTCACCCAGTAGTGACATTCTACATCTCTTAAGAGCCTTGCTTTTTCTCATCAGTAAAATAAGAATAAAATTAGTAGTTACATGTGAGAGTTTTTTTTTTTTGTGAGGATTCAGTGAGATAAGTATATGAAACTCAGCAGAGTGACTAGAACTTAGTATGTGCTTGATAAAAGTTCGTTGTTCTTGTCTTTGGTTGTTACGGCCACAACAGTGAAGTTCTATAGCTGAGGCCAGAATCTCTTTAGCTGGGCTGAGTCATTCTCCACAGAACTAAGGGGCAATAAGGTGCTGCCTTTTAGTCCACGTGATCAATGACTGTAGCAGGCAAATGGTAACCTATATATTATGGGCTGAAATGTGTTCCTCTTACACCTAGGAAGTTACATGCATATCATATAGAGGAGAAAGAGAGAACACCAGCTCAGTCAGACAGGTCAACCCAGAGGCATGACATGTGTCACAGTCAGAGGGTCCTACAACCCTAGTTCTACCATCAGAAATCACATACAGAGCTGCTACTGTAGGGCCACATTCAGGACTGGGTTTGACCTGTTGATGGGGCAGAACATTTTGGAGCCTATGCTGGCAACAGAGAGTCAAGCATCTGACTTCTTCCAGGGACTTCTGCTCTCTTAGGGGGCCCTTTCTGTTTCCAGCTCAAGCTGCTTGTGCCTCAGTCTATGGGCAGTGGAATCTTTCTTAGTTAAATAGCAGAGTCTGCATGTAATTTAAACATTGTACAGGCTCTGGTACTGCCCTGCCCCCTCTTCCCCTTAGGTTGTTTGTCCTCTAAAGACTTAGGGCCCTCATCACAGTCCACAGTCAAACAATATGTGCAGAATGAAGGTGAACGATAAAGGGAGAATGGACTTGTGTTTTTGGTTTAGTTCTTTTCTCTTCTACCCCAGTACCCTTTGGATCCTTTAACATAAAAAGTATAAGAGAATTAAAACTAAAGGCAGAAATGCAGGTGTTATAAATTTTAAATAATCTCATGAACGTTCAAGATTTTTAAATCATTTTAAAAATGAAGTGGTAGTGGAGGGTGTGTGGCTTCTGGGATTTAATGAAGAATTTGAAATTATAATTTTCATACCTGTCTTTGATTTAATGCCAAATGTCTTCATCTGACAAATGAAAACTATCTGATTATTACCTACTCTCTCTTTCCAGATGAAGAGTAGTAGCTGCTAAATTATTGTCAAATATTTTGGAAATATGAAATGCTGTACAACAATAGTAATTTGCATGGTAATGGGCAAGAACCAGGTCTTTATACCCCATTACCACAAGTGATTAACAAGAAGATTAGAAGATTAGGCAGGATAGTCTGTCTTTGGGGGCCATTGTGGAGACTGGCAAATGCCTAGGTTTGCAAATCTCCTTTTTCTCTGATTGATAATAGAGTAACCTCATGTGTTGTTATATGTGGATATTGCTGCACGAGACAGAACTCATGATTTGCTGCAACCCAATACTCTGCTCTTTGAGTAGCCCAGGCAATGTCCCTCCTTAGCCCACTGCTCCCACCTCATTTATCCTGCTCCCTGCTACTTCTTGCCTTTCTTTCATATTGTCTCCCAAGCTAAGAATGGGCCGTTTGTTGTTCTTAGTTATGGCAAATTCCACACAGAGAACCCATCTCCAAACAGTTCAATCTTGTGCTACAACCTCTAATGTGGCAACAAAACCTATAAGACTAACCATGGACCTGGGGCCAATTTTTTAAAACTCTGAGGCTCAGCTTCCTGATCTTCAAAAAAAAAAAAAAAAAATGAATGTGATATTTACTGCTCAGGATTAATATAAGATTAAATAAAATAATGTGAACAATTAAGGGTCAGTAAATTTTCTGAGTCTATGGACTCTCTTTGACTAATGGGACCTTTGATGACACCTTCTTTGTTTGAATTCACATTATGTTTACAAGATTTCAATGTGTGACACATACCTCAATGCTTGAACAAGAATAGTTTCATGTTATCCTCTTACTGTGTTACATGTATAAAAAGCCCACATCCTGTGTTTCTCAAATTGCCTTCTGGAGAGCAGAGGAGATGTTTTAATTGAATATCTACTGGGAATCTAAGTAAGGCATAGAATCAGATTTTTAGAGCTAGAAGGGAAAGCAGGGATGTGTTGAATTTTCCAGATGGCCACCACGATAACTCCCATCCTTCGTGCTTTCCTACGATGTCAGGAACCTGATCGGAAAGTGAAGTCAAATTCTTCTCCCTTGAATCTGACTGAACTTGTAAATGCTTTAACCAGTAGAGTGGAGGGCATACTATATGCTTTCCAAGGTTATAGAATGCCGTGTTCTTTCTGTCCTGTCAAACAGGATCATCACATTTTGGAGTTCTCAGTCCTGTGTACAAAGTCCAACTATCTGAGGCCACCATGCACTTAGGATGTCCAGGCCACCTGGAGAGGCTACCAGATATGTGTATGAAGAAGTTGTCTTGAAAGTGGATCTTCCAGCCCATGTTATTCTAGCTACAGCTGTTTGAGTCTCCTTGTACAAGCCCCAGACATCATGGAATGGAGAAGAGCTGAGCCACGGTGTCCTCTCCAAATTCTCAATCCACAAAACTCATGAAAATAATAAAATGATTGTGTCTTTGTGCTACTAAATTTAGGGAAATTTGTTATTCAGCAAAGATGATTAGAACAAGAGACCACAATTTGACTATCATATTTCAGAAATGACACAGATCCAGAGAGGTTAAATAAATCATTTTATTCAAATGAAGACTTAGTGGTAGAGTTATTCTTAAGTACTGGCTTTAAGATCCATGCGCAATTCACTACTACATCATGTACCTTCTTAGCTCTTGACATCAGCCCTGAATATTTGCATAGTTAAGACTTGACTTTAGGCTTCTGTACTCAAGGGGCACACATTCTAAGAAGTATTATACTCACATAGTAAGCTATGAGGAAATTAATTACATTATAAGCCTAGCAGAGAGGATTCTGCTGCAGACTTTAGGTAGTGAGAGATATTGGAAACTCCCAGAGAAGGGACAGAGATGAAGAAATGGAAATAGAGAAAAAGTGAGAGTTCTGCAGAGATTGAAGCCTTGCAGGGGAGGGAGGGGTAAGCAGCAGAGCATGGGGGTAAAAGTCATGAGACACTGGTGGAAAAAGAAGGGTTGAAGTTGCTTGAACTCTATTCAGGCAAACAACTGTGCGCCGACAAGAAGAAGGCTGATAAGCAGCTTTAGACTGTCTATAGCTAAAGGGGAAGTGAGAGGCAGGCAGCATATGGAGCAGGAAAGAACAGAGGGGGAGACAGCATGAGGGGAGAGAGAAAGTTGAGGAGAGAGATGGGGAGCCCGAGCAAAGAAGTAGGAAAACAGTTGGCCCTAAGTGTCCAAAGAAATTAGGAAGAATTGGAGACAGTGGGAGATGATGACAGAAATAAAACCACAAAAAGTTCAAGGAAAACATTTGGAATGCAAATGAAAACAGTAAAGTGTGTGTAGAAGAAACGGAAAAAAATGGAGGCTGAAATACATTTGAGGTGAAAACAGTAATTGATTCAATTGTTCATACAAGAAAACAGTTTGGATGAGAGTTTAAGCAGCATGTCACATTTTGAGTTACCTGGTTACTAAGAGGCCACATTGTATTTCTAAGATGTTTCTAAAAGTGGAGTTTGATTTGTCCTTTTATTGTAAGAGAAATTATACCTACAGAAACGTAAAAAATGGATGGGCTAGGAATTGGATTTTCCTAGACTGCTAGAAGAAAAAAAAATAGCATTAAGGAGTTAAAGTCTCTAACTGTAAGGAGGCAATAAATTCAATAGAGGAGTGCATATGACCAATGACTGAATTTGAGAACAAAGAAGACCAGAATGGTAAATTGTCCATTGACATCCTGGAGCTCCTTCCAATATGTAGAGAACTTCCAGCCTTTATATTTATTAGTACTTTAAGCCTGAAATATTGATAGTGACAAAGAAGAAGATGGTAATGATGATGGTGGTGGTAAGGATAATGTTTTCTGCAAGCCAGACATTGTTCTAAATATATAAAAATATGTATTTATATATTTATATGAATATATATCTATATATTTATATATATATAGAAACATACATCTACATATTTATATATAATTATATATATAGAAATATGTAGATATATATTTCTATATATAGAAATATATAGAAATATATATATTTATATATATTTACATATAGAAATACATAGAAATATATATTTCTATGTATTTCTATATATAACTATATAGAAATATAGATTTATATAAATATATAAATATATAAAACAACATTTATATATTTCTATAAATCTAGATTTATATATTTCTATAAATCTAGATTTATATATTTCTATAAATCTAGATTTATATATTTACATAAATCTAGATTAATATATTTATATAAATCTAGATTAATATATTTATATAAATATAGATTTATATATTTATATAAATCTATAGATTTATATAAATCTAGATTTATATACTTATAGATTTATATAAATATATATTTATAGATTTATAGATTTATATAAATATATATTTATGTATTAAATATATAAATATATATTTATGTATTAAATATATAAATATATATTAAATATATATATTTATATTAAATATATGTGTATATACTCAATATATATTATATATTTAATATATCAATATATATACATTAAACATATAATATATGAATATATATTAAATATATATGAATATTTATATAAATATTTTATATATTTATATATTTATATAAATATTTTACGTGTTTATATATTCAAATAAATATTTTATGTGTTTACATATTTAAATATTTTATATGTTTACATATTTATATAAATATATATTTATATATTTATATATTTATATTATATATATATGTTTATATATTTAATATATATATTTATATATTTATATATGATTATATATTTAATATATATTTATATATTTATATATGTTTATATATTTAATATATATTTCTATATTTATATGTTTATATATTTAATATGTAAATATATATATTTAATATATAAAATATTTATATAAATATTTTATATATTTATATAAATATATAAATATTTATATAAATATATATAATATAATTTATATTTATATTTATATTTATATATTTATAAATATAAGTATATATTATATAAATATAAATATATATTTATATATTTTTACACATATATATTATATATATCATATATAAATATATATATTTAAATACTTATATGTTATACATATCATATATAAATATATATATTTATATACTTATATATATCATATATAAATATATATATACTTATATATATTATATATCATATATAAATATATATATATATTTATATATACTGTATATATATACACACAATATATATATACACAGTATATATACACACAGTATATATATACACAGTAATACATATACACAGTATATATATACACAGTGATACATATACACAGTATATATATACACAGTGATACATATACACAGTATATATATACACAGTGATACATATACACAGTATATATATACACAGTGATACATATACACAGTATATATATACACAATATATATGTACACAGTATGTATATACACAGAGTATATGTACACGGTATATATAAACACAGAGTATATATATATACACGGTATATATATACACAGAGTATATATATATATACACGGTATATATATACACAGAGTATATATATATATACACGGTATATATATACACACAGTGTATATATACAGTGTATAGAGACAGTGTATATACACACAGTGTGTATAGAGACAGTGTATATACACACAGTGTGTATAGAGACAGTGTATGTACACACAGTATATAGAGACAGTGTATATACACACAGTATATACAGACAGTGTATATACACACAGTATATACAGTGTATATACACACAGTACATATATACAGACAGTGTATATACACATAGTACATATATACAGACAGTGTATATACACACAGCATCTGTATACACGCAGTACATATATACACAGCATCTATATACACGCACAGTACATGCATACACAGCATCTGTATACACGCACAGTACATGCATACACAGCATCTGTATACACGCACAGTACATGCATACACAGCATCTGTATACACGCACAGTACATGCATACACAGCATCTGTATACACGCACAGTACATGCATACACAGCATCTGTATACACGCACAGTACATGCATACACAGCATCTGTATACACGCACAGTACATGCATACACAGCATCTGTATACACGCACAGTACATGCATACACAGCATCTGTATACACGCACAGTACATGCATACACAGCATCTGTATACACGCACAGTACATGCATACACAGCATCTGTATACACGCACAGTACATGCATACACAGCATCTGTATACACGCACAGTACATGCATACACAGCATCTGTATACACGCACAGTACATGCATACACAGCATCTGTATACACGCACAGTACATGCATACACAGCATATATATACGCACAGTATATATATATACAAGGTATATATACACACAGTGTATATATATACACGGTATATATACACACAGTGTATATATATACACGGTATATATACACACAGTATATATATACAGGGTACATATATATACACAGTATGTATATACACGGTACATATAAATACACAGTATGTATATACACGGTACATATATACACAGTATATATATACACGGTACATATATACACAGTATATATATACACGGTATATATACGGTATATATGTATACACAGTATATATATTCACAGTATATATGTATACTCAGTATATATGTATACACAGTATATATATACACACAGTGTATACACACAGTATATATACACAGTGTATATACACACAGTATATATATACACACAGTATATACATACACAGTATATATATACACAGTATGTACATACACAGTATATATATACACAATATGTACATACACAGTATATATATATACACAGTATGTATATACAGACTATATATACACAGTATGTATATACACACTATATATTCACACACTATGTAATACACAGTATATATACACACAGTATATATATACACAGCATATATATATATACACACAGTATATATATACACAGCGTATATATATACACATTATACATATACACACAGTATATATATACACATTATACGTATACACAGTGTATATATACACAGTACATAGACACACAGTGTATATATACACAGTACATAGACACACAGTGTATATATACACATTACATAGACACACAGTGTATATATACACAGTACATAGACACACAGTGTATATATACATAGTACATAGACACACAGTGTATATATACACAGTACATAGACACACAGTGTATATATACACACACAGTATATATATACACACACAATTTATATATACACACACAGTATATATATACACGCAGTATGTATACACACAGAATATATATACACGCAGTATATATATACACAGTATATATATATACGCGCAGTATACATATACACAGTATATACACAGTATATATATACACACAGTATATATATACACATTATATATACACACACTATATAAACACGGTATATATACACACACAGTATATATACAGGTATATATACACACATAGTATATATACAGGTATATATACACACACAGTATATATATACGGTATATATACACACAGTATATATATATACGGTATATATACACACAGTATATATATATACGGTATATATACACACAGTATATATATATACACGGTATATATACACACAGTATATATATACGCGGTATATATACACACAGTATATATATATACACGGTTTATATACACACAGTATATATATATATACGGTATATATACACACAGTATATATATATACACGGTATATATACACACAGTATATATGTATACACGGTATGTATACACACGGTATATATATATATACACGGTATATATACACACGGTATATATATATACACGGTATATTTACACACGGTATATATATATACGGTATATGTACACACGGTATATATACACACGGTATATATATACACGGTACATATATACACACAGTATATATATACATGGTATATATATACACCGCATATATGTATACATGGTATATATTTATACACAGTATCTATATTCACTTTATATATGTATACACAGTATATTCACAGTATATATGTATAGTCAGTATATATATACACAGTATATATGTATACACAGTATATATGCATACACAGTATATATGCACACAGTATATATATACACAGTGTATATACACACAGTATTTATATACACACAGTGTATATACACACAGTATATACACACAGTATGTATATACACAGTATATATACACACATAGTATGTATATACACAGTATATATACACAGTATGTATATACACAGTATATATACACAGTATGTATATACACAGTATACACACAGTATGCATATATACGGTATATATATACACACAGTATGCATATACACGGTATATATATACACACAGTATGTATATACACATATATATACACACAGCATGTATACACACATAGTATATATATACACAGTATGTATACACACAGTATATATATACACGCAGTATGTATACACACAGTATATATACACACAGTATGTATACACACTGTATATATATACACACAGTATGTATACACACAGTATATATATACACACAGTATATATACACACAGTATATATATACACACAGTATATATATACACACTGTATATATACAGACAGTATATATACATACAGTATATATACGCACAGTATATATATACACACATATATACGCACAGTATATATATACGCACAGTATATATACGCACACAGTATATATACACGCAGTATATATACGCACAGATTATATATACGCACAGAGTATATATACACCCACAGTATATATATACCCAGTATATATATACCCACAGTATATATATACCCAGTATATATATACACCCAGTATATATACACACAGTATATATACACCCAGTATATATATACACACAGTATATATACACCCAGTATATATATACACACAGTATATATACACCCAGTATATATATACACACAGTATATATACACCCAGTATATATACACACAGTATATATACACCCAGTATATATATACACACAGTATATATACACCCAGTATATATATACACACAGTATATATACACCCAGTATATATATACACACAGTATATATACACACAGTATATATATACACAGTATATATACACACAGTATATATACACACAGTATATATATACACACAGTATATATATACACACAGTATATATACACACAGTATATATATACACACAGTATATATATACACACAGTATATATACACACAGTATATATATACACACAGTATATATATACACACAGTATATATATACACACAGTATATATGTACACAGTATATATATACACACAGTATATATGTACACAGTATATATATACACACAGTATATATGTACACAGTATGTGCATACAGTATATATATACACTGTGTATATATACACTGTGTATATATATACAAGTATATATGTATACACAGTATATATGTATACACAGTATATATATACACAGTATATATGTATACACAGTATATATATACACAGTATATATATACTTGCAGATGTGATTAAGTTAAAGTCCTTGAGATTGGGAGATAATGTAGACTCTCTGAGTGGTGCCAATCTAATCACATGGGCCCCTAAAATCAGAGAAGCCCTTAGACTGTGGCCAGAGAAAGAGATATGATGACGGAAGAATGGTCAGAGATGCAACTTTGCTCACTTTGCAGATGGAAGACGGAACTATGTGAATGGCCTCTAGAAGCTGGAAAAGGAAAGGGAATACTGTGTATTCTCCCATAGATATGTAGACTGTCTCCCCTGCTAACACCTAGATTTTAGCCCAGTGAGACCCATGTTGGACTTCTGATCTACAGAATTATAAAGTAATCAGTGTGTGTTGTTTTAAGCCACTGTTTGTGGCAACTCAAGATGCCTGTTGGGAAGCGTCTTCACTCTGCTCATGTGATGGTTAATACTGAGTGTCAACTTGATTGGATTGAAGGATACAAAGTATTAATTCTGGATGCATCTGTGTGGGTGTTGCCAAAAGAGATTAAGATTTGAGTCAGTGGGCTGGGGAAGACAGATTCACACTTAATCTGGTGGGTACAATCTAATCAGCTTCCAGCGAATATAAAGCAGGCAGAAATATGTGAAAAGGAGCGAGACTGGCCTAGCCTCCCAGCCTCCATCTTCCTCCTGTGCTGGATGTTTCCTGCCCTCAAACATTGGACTCCAAGTTCTTCAGTTTTGGGACTCGGACTGGCTCTCCTTGCTCCTCAGCTTTTAGACAGCTTAGTGTGGGACCTTGTGATCGCGTAAGTTAATACTTAATAAACTTTATAAATATATATACATGTATATATGTATATGTGTGTGTGTATATATATCCTATTAGTTATTAACTGACATGATCTGTCATGTAAGTTCTGTCCCTCTAGGAGAACCTTAACACAGGTCATTTCTTAGCTTGTATGAGAAGGGCCTCCCTCCTAATAGAGTCCTTGTGAAGATGTTATTGCTGCCTCTCTTTGGAGTGTCTTCATAATGACCTTATTTTCCCATGGCTGCCCTTTCTTGACTCACAGATGAATTCTTCACAGTCATATTTGCCCTCTTGTCACAGTTGATTTGAATAAAGGAGGTTACTTGGCCCAGTGTGGGCTAATCAGAATCTCTTTCCCAGGACTTTGGATTTGGTGGAGGGGGTGTTAGTTTCAGCCTCTACACATGGCTTGAACTGAGGTTCTATAAACCAGGGCGCTGGGTGGTGGCCATAGGCAAGGAGAATGTAACAATCCCTGAGGCAGATAGAGCAGAGCAGAGCAGAGCAGGGGATCTAAGAACCAAGATCAAGAGAGTGGGTGGCCTTGTTCCTACTGGTAACAAAATGTTTACTCCTACTAGGGCTCAGGCACCTTCGTGTCCCAGATTCCACAAGATAGCATTATTCCATTATGAAAAGCATGCTATTTTCCCTTAACCATGCTAAGAGAGTTTCTGTTACTTGCAAACAAAAGAGCCTGGACTAAGACACCTACTGTGATGGGGGTGAATCAAGAGGATGGAAAAGAGACTATATTAATCTCATCTTGGGTCCTCATTCATGCCTCATTTCAAGGAGGCAAATAGAAATTCAGAAAATTTTATTATCCAACAGGACAGGGAGCATTTTGTACATCTTTGACTGTAGCTGGAGCTGCTGGCAGGCCTGCCTTTGTTAGAGTTGAGGTCCCTGGCCATATAATGCTCCTTTAGGCTCTAAGGTATCTAATTCTCGCATTCAAAATTAATGTTGGCAGAGGAGTATTTTTAAATCAGAATTTTGTAATTCCAGCTGACCTTTCTTCAGCAAGCTTAAACATGAATGTATAGCACCCCATTCAGCTTTCATGCTTTTCAGTAGTTACTTAATTTTGAAAATATATATGGTGAATATTATGGTTTCTTGCAGTAGAGCTTGAAACCAGAAGCGATGGCTTTCCTAATTATCATTAACTTATAGAGTTTCAAAAGAAATCATAAAAACTATGTTATCCAACTCTTTAATTATGCAGACAAGGAAATACGCTAAGTAGTGTTAGATGGCTCGTTCTGCGGTCCTTCACTGGGTCCATTTGTGTATTTATATGAAGAATTCCCAAACTTAAAAATTTAGAGAATAGGTTATCAGTTAGAGAACACAGAAATCTTTGGATTAAAATATTTGTATGAATACCAAGTACTTTTTATAATGCAAAGAAAATGTTTTTGCCTGTCTCTTTATGAATTGAAATTCTTTCTGTAACCCCAAGTGTGCCCAAAGAAATATAATTCCTTTGATGGATTGGATGTTATTAATAGGAAGTTAGATAACTCTGAAGATAAAGTTTCCATGCACCCATTAATCTTTTTCTCCTTCCCTTCCTCCTTTCTTTCCTTCCTCCTCTCTCTCTCTTCTTACCGTCTTTTCTTCCTTCAAGTTATTATTCACTGAGTACCTGCCATGTGACTAACAATTTCTGAAAGCTGGAGATGCAATAGTAAATGATACACCCTCATGGAATCCTCCTCTTGTGGAGACTCTGCCTTCATGGTGCTTACATTTGACTTGAGGAAAATAGAAAATAGATATGTAAATAGATATATAAGATTATTATGGATAATAATAAAGTGCTATGAAGAAAATAAAACATAGGAATGTGAGAGAATAATGGGCTAGGGTGACAGAGTGTGTTTTCTTAGAGTAAGAAGGTGACATTTAGTTGATCTACTTATTCTACCCATTCATCATCTACATATTCTCTATATTCTGTGATTACATAAGACAACAGACAACTCTAACCCACAGAAAACAGTGATTAAGTTGCTTTCCCTGATGACAGAGTTCATGATTTTAAATCCAGTTTTTTTCTGTTGCCTCTATTGCCACCTCAAAAGAGGATTGAATTGAAAACTTGTTCTCAAATAATTTGTATTCAACTTGGGGAGAGAAAACACAAATTGTGGGGCAATAAGTCAAAGTACTGATTGGTTTCTTCTCCTTTTGCACAATCCTTAACAAATCCTTCCATTTGTATCTCAAGGACTTCTCTGATGGGTTCTGCTCTCTCCCCTGGATCGCCCACACATGGACGTGAGACCAGTCAGAAACATATCCTGTGAAAACACAACCATTTTTCTGGGAAGCTGCTGGTCAGTGTAAGAGAAAGATTCAGATACACACTTTTGGCATTAATTTTCCCAAATTGAGGGGCTAGACTGTAAAACCTTAACTGTTTCTGCATTGGACACCTTCTGTCACCAGTTCTAACTGTAAGGAAACTGAGTCACTGCTTACTTACTGGTCTCATCACAAAATGTTGAATATCACCAATTACCAGGAATCTTCTCTTCTCAAGCATGTGGAAGAAAGGTCTATAGTAAAGGTCTGTTCAGATCTGATCTATTCTGTCTGTTGGCCCAGGGGCACGTAAAACCTACAAATAGAAGGGTGGAAGTCTCAGGAACTAGACAGATGGTGACATGAAGGGGAAGCTTTGATTATGAACAGGATGGGCAGAATATCTTTTGAAATAATCTCATTGTATTGTGTATTGTCCTATTGGCTATCTGTTGCCACCATAATGTCTCATACCAAATCTCCCCACAAAACAGCAGCTTAAAACAATAAGCATTTATTTAGTCTGTTGGTGAGTTACACTGAACTTAATTGAATAATTTTGGTCTCAGCTGGGCTCACTCATATGTCTGGTGTTGGGCTTTTGGCTGGTATAAGGTTGCTCTTGCTGGAGCTCCCCAGCTCTTCACATGCTTCTCATACAGTAGGCCAGCCCATGAATGTTCTCATGGCAATTGTAGAAGCACAAGAGTAAGCAAGGTCAGTTTGCAAATCCTTCTCAAGTAAGCATCTTATAGGCCAAACAAGTCTCATGACCAATTCAAGTCAGTGTGAAAGGGAACTGCAGATTTACATGGTAAAGGACATAGATTCAAGGAAAGTTGAAGAATTGGCACCATTAATCAGTAACATCCACCTTATTCAGGGTTGAAATGTTAATGGTTAGTTATTTACCAAATAGTCTAGGCATAGTTTAAAGGGTACATTGGAGTGATGAGAAACTGGAGGCAGGAATTACAGACAGGAACCTGTGAGGGGGACAAGGGCAATGCCTGAATCTGGGTGACTGGGGAAACGGGAAGTGGAGGGGTGGGAGACAGCTTGGCTGGATGTGGAGGTGGAGAGGAGATGAGAAGAAAAGATTGCCTCTGGAGTCAGTGACCTGGAGGGGCAAGTAACCCACCCATGCCTTGTAGGTGCAAGTCTGGAAATTACTTGTGTAAGAAAAGAGAAGCTTGGTGACATGGTGAGGTCAGGTATGTGGGAGAAGGAGCAGCAAGAATACAACATGGTGGAGGTGGTGTCTGATTAGAATTGCAAGGCAGGTGGAGGATAACGGCTATGAGTGCTGGGTGGGGGCATAAGCTTGGGCATATTTCAGCTTGTAGACAATAATTTGGATCCTCCATGTTGGAGAATTTGAAATTTCCCAGGGCTCTAAGGAGAGTGTGTATGTGTTACTGGTTACTCTCTAGCGGTCTCTAGACTGGAGCCTTATCAAAGTGTCATGCTCTTGGAGACCCCTAGGTAGGTGGGAGCATTATGGCATGCCCAGATCATAACTCCCTCCCCCCACCACAGTTGCCAGGCCCTGCTGCAGGTTTAATCAGCTACCAAGTTGGTTTTATTTTTATCCCCAGTCTCTCCTGCCCCAGCTGACATTCAGGTACTCTCTGACTGCCTTTTTTTTTTTCAGTCCCATCTGATTCAATGAACAATTGCAAAACCTGGCAATCCGGATGAAGCCAAGCATTCTGAATCTTAATTTATTTTTCTGTTTTTCCAATAAAAAGGTCTTCCAAAGACTCACAAAGTGGAAAATATTTTGAATTACTTTCTTTGACTGACTGTGCTTGAATTTCTCAGGATCACCATTGATAACATTTAGAATGATTTCTGGGACACGGCACTAGGCTTAAAATAGTTTGAAGGCTTCTGGGGCAACTCCCTGATATGAGAAGTGATTTGTTACCTGTGTTAAGGAAGAATCAGATGTCACGTTATACAAGGTTAATGAGCAACAACTGTTTTGTAGCTTGAGTGTAGCCGGTACCTCATACCCTACTTTCTCCTTGCTCCAGAGAGAGCCACAGTGTTGTAGGTAAAATAGAAGTTATTAAATACAGATATTATTTTTTCTAGGTCTTAGGTGTGCCCAATCCATCTTTGTCTCCTTTGTCCTTGTGAGGCAACTCCTGCCATTTGAAATTATCTGAGTCTTTGCGAAGGGCCAAGTTGTTTCTGCGGTGTCAAGGAGACCAGAAAGTAGGACCTAGACAGCAAAACAAACCCTTTGTGGGAGTGGGTGTATGTTTGAATGTGGAAAATCTGAAACCACAAAGATTTCCTGCTCCTTCCTGGAGCTGACTTCTGCTGGGTTTTTCGAGGAGGCTGTTGGATGGCTGATGTATTTCTCCTCTCTCCAGTCTAACATTTAAGGAGCCATTATATAATCACTAGTCATGAAATAACTGTGGTTATGTGGCAGTATTTCACAAAGTATGGTCTGTGGGCCTGAGGCATCAGAAGCACTTATGTAAAAATTACTGGGTCTGGGTCCTGGAAATCTACATTTTTAAAATTTAGTGTTCATCCCAGGTGATCTCATATTCCCTGATGGATGAGAATATACTATCCTTAGGGGCAAATTACATTTATTTGTTATTATTTGTATACTTTGGAAGACTATATAGCAGCAGGATCAAATAATGTTTGAAAATATTATGCTTGTTTGTGGCTGTGTAAAACAATTTAAGCTGGCTCCTGACTTTAAGGGTATTACCTCATAGCCGTTTTTTGTTCCATGATTGGTTATGTTAGTAGGGAATGACAAAGATAACTAGCTATTCACTTATAATTCATGCTCTGCTTTTCATAGTGTAGAGTTGTTCATGTGAAGTGGCTGCACAGCCATGTACCACATGGCCACTGGCATCCAGGAATGGCCTGTGACTAGTGCTCCCAGTAGAATGAAACTGAAGTGATGTGTGTCCATTTTTTTCCCCTTTGCCTGGGTGCAGAGGCCCAAGTGAAGGATAAATGAAACCTGGATCTTTGAACTACTGTATATCTACAGTACCTGTTTTGAGCTTTCACTTGGGTTAGAAGTAAGTCTTCATGGTGCTGAGCCATGGAGATTTGAGGTATCAACAGCTTTTGTCACCCAGATAACTCAGGGGGATTGGGTTATTACTTACAGGTTCTAGATGGTAACTATGTCCTTTTCCAGCTCAAATTTTAAAATGCATGTGGTTTACATACATCTACTTCTCTTTTGAGAAGTAGGAATCATCTCTTAGAGGAAAGAGCACCATTCCCAGAATTAGGGAAGTAGGTTCAAGTCTCCCAGTTCTGCCACTTACTTGCTGTGCAGTTTTAGACAAATCATTCAATTGCTCTGAGCCTCAGCTTTTTCGGTTATGTAGTGAGATACTAATACTGTATGATTTGCCTTCGAAGGTATGTTTGTGGAAGTTAATTTAGGGGAATGCCTGTGAAAACACTGTAATTTATAAAGTTCTAGTATACAAATGCAAGAGATGACTTGTTTCTTTTTTTTATAGAGTTAGTGCTAAATGCTATTTCTGGCTTTAATACTTTCATCAGCTTCCTAAGTCTCAGCTTTTTCCTCTAGAAAATGGGGATTTTCTTGGATTACTGTGGTGATAAAATGAGACAATGTATGTGATGGTGAAGATCCCAAGACCCAACATATTTCAGGAACTCAGAGGAATGTTAATTTTCTTCCCTGAAGTACTGTGTGCTCAAGGGAGGCAATTTAGGGAGAGTCCATGTAGGATGAGGATAAATATGAACAGTGTTCTCCTGTTGCTTATATTTTACTCACTTCTGTTGATTGGTGGGGTGATTTTCACTGTATCTTCTATCCTGTCCTTCCCAGAGCTTGATCACGACCACACATCAGTGGGAAAGATGGCTGCAGACGACCTAAGGGCTTGTTTGTGATGTTGTGGGCTTGTATTTCTTCTCCTATGAAGATGGAAACTGGAGTCAGTGTGAGTCTGATGGAGCACTTACTGGAGGTGCTGGCCAGTCAGTTCCCTGATGTTCAGACACCTGGCGTTCTGGAGTGCTTTGTCAAGAGTAGTTATTCCCCCTTGGAACACTTTGTCTTCTTTTCTCTGTTTCATCTTCACTTGGCTTATTCTTTGCCCCAGAGTCCTTTTTACTTGGAGTGTCCTCAAGCTAATTTACTTACTACAAGTTCAAGACATGAAAAACTGGTTCTGCAGTACATTTTTAACAAAGGGAATGATAACTTCTTCAGTTTATTTGTATACTGTACTGCCCTTTTCAAAGTGTTTTCACTGGAGTTACTTTGTTTGTTCATTGTAGGTTTCATAGTCTTCCAGCAGCCACTCTTCCTTTTGCTTATCCAAGGTGCATTTATTGGGCAGGTAAAGCTGCTGGGAGGATGAGGTAGATGGGGTAGGGAACAGAGAGCTAATATTTATTAATCATGCATTTTTGCCAAGCTACTTTTAATGGAGTTTGGTTAATTTAATTCTCTCAGTTTTTCTGAGGTATCTCTAGTGCCTAGCCAATACTTAACGGGTGTTTAAAGGCTTACCAACTGTAAAGTTCAACAGAGTTTAAAAAACTTGTTCAAAGTCAAAAAGCTCTTTGGTGATGGAGATGGGATTTAAATCCAGGTTTCTTTGTTTCCGAAGCCCTTGCTCTTTTCCTAATGTTACTATCTCTAGGAAATCGATCCAGGGACATAAATAGTTGTTCTCCAATTAGCCTACACATTCAGTTATTTGGGGAGCAAAGACACCAACATTTGAGTAGTAAGACAAGGAAAACTTCCTTTTTTCTCTCTCCTTTCCTCCCTTACTTTCTGCCGCGACATTTTTTGAGTGTCTACCATGTAGCTTCCAGTGTTCCATGCTCTGAGATGCAACATCCCCATCTTGCAGCTAATATTCTAATGGGTGAGACAGATAAGTAATTTAATGTGAAGTATTGATAACTGCTAAGAGGAGCAGTGAAGCAGAGGATGATAGTGATGTGTGGTCAGGGAAGACCTCCCTGGGTAGGTGACATTTGAGCAGAAACCTGAGTGAAAAGAAAGCCTGCCATTGGCGGGGGTTGGGGTGTAGACAGCAGGTGGGAGCTGGCTTAGTGTTTTGTGAGTTCAGAGTATGCCTTGGTTGGAGTAAGCATTAGGAGGGTGATGAAGTGAGGCTGGAAAGTTCACTAAACGCTTGTGAATACTTTAGATTTTATTGTGAATGAGGGTGGAAGCCATTCAAGAATTTTGAGCAAAGAAATGATAGTATTTGACTTACTATTTAAAAAGACTAACTGTGGATATTATGTGTGGGTAAGATTACAGGGGGCAAAAGCCTAAGCTGGGACCCCAGTTCAGAATCGATGGCAGTTGTCCACATATGATGATCGTGAATGGTATCGAAAATGAGTACTTCAACAACATTGCATTCTTTTACTTTCAGTTCTTATCTTTGGATTTTTTATTTCAATTCGTTATAAATCTCTTTAAATTTATTAAATTCATACTGAGTTCAAGAGATGGAGAAAAATCCTGTTTGTGTCTTTATCTCTTTCTTTAAGCCTTTTCCTACAATTTATATTTTTTCTTTTTCTTTTTTTACCTAAACCAAATTACACATTGTTCCACTTATCTAAACAGTAGAAGACAGGAATCAATTGCTTTGGTTTTCTGATAGCACAAACCTAGCTGCAGATCTGAAACAGAATGAACTGGCGTTAGAGTGATAGCAGGGCAGCCTGCCAACAGCACCCTTTCTCAGTGACAGCTAGCCGGTGCTGGGAATGGTCTGCACAAAGGCCTGAGTTTGTAATCAACTGCAAACTTGGACTCTTTCTATTTGGATAGCACTTGCTCTTCTCCAGCTGAAGTGGGTGATTGCATTGGGACTATTATCTATCAAATGCCATGAAGAGCTATTAATATAGGTGGAATAATTGAAGAAACAGACTTGTTGGAAAATGTAACTACTTTACACATCATTGTAAATTGTTTTCCAGGCTATACTGGTCTCCCTTCAGCCATGAAAACATTCGGATGTTAAAAAAAAAGATGCGTCTTGAATACTTAACCATAAAAGTAAATGAGATTGCTTTAGACTGCTTTGTTAACACTGGAACCATCCACACATGGAAATTATTACCTACCCTGTGTTTGCTTGAATGTTGGTAGATATTGTCGTGCCAGCTCTGATGTCTGTTAGTCTAATGTGTACTTCTGTGCAAACAAGTGAACAGCTCAATATCATTTTTAGGAACATTCTTTCATTAAATAATGAATCTTTTCTAAATACCATTACTACTATTTTACATTTTCTCTCTAATTTACGAAGGAGTTTTGAAGCTGGATTGCGTTCATGTATAATGACTCTCACATTGCTCTGAGAGATGAGTTGTGGGAGTGATAGAGCATCTGAAAGCTGGGTCTTAGGTACATCTGGGAAGAGTTTTAAGCAGGTCAGCTGCCTTCTTTACAGTGATTTCTCCATATGGATGGCAGTTTGTATAAAAATCTATCTGTCCAAATTCTTCTTTCTATTCAAGGTCAAGCTCAAATCTCACCTACTTTAAGCAGTTATACTTGAGTAATTTGGTACATATAGTCACTCTCCCTTCTCAGTGAAGTGGTATGAGAATAGGTATTTTCTTAGCAACTACTGTGATGGATTGTCACATCTCATCTAATGTTTACACAGCTACTCAGTGAGGTGGGCACTATTGGGAAATTAGCTGAGGTATGTATGCTCACACACCTGGGAGGTGGAAGAGTCAGGATGTGAATTCACGTCTGTCTAACACTAAAACTCTTTCTACCATACCTTGTGACTTCATAGAACTTTCAATGTGGACAGAGCATGATACATATACTTTAACATTTCTTTTTATACTGTTTGTTTGTATTTGTAGTTGTTTCATATATGGGTTTTCTATTTCTAGCAATGTTTTAATGTCCTTGAAGACAGTTAGACAGTTCTGAGAGATACAAAGAAGAAGACATGACCCCTGCCTTATTGTAGGTTAATATAGAGTATAGACCTGAAAAGAAAGGTATCTCCAAATCCATTATAAGAGGTCTGATGGTGGCGGGGCATAGTGGCTCACGCCTATAATCCTAGCAATTTAGGAGGCAGAGGTAGGAGAATCACTTATGCCTAGGAGTTCAAGAATAGCCTGGATAACATAGTGAGACCTTGTTTGCTCAACAGATTTTAACAGATGAAACAATTAGCCAAACATAGTGGTGGTGCATGCCTGTAGTCCCAACTACTCAGGAGGCCGAGACGGGAGGATCACTTGAGCCCAGAAGTTTGAGATTACTCTGAGCTGTGATGGCACCACTGCACTCCAGCCTGGATGACAAAGGTCTGATGGAAGGAAGTCTATGGAGGATACCGAGGCAACACAAAGGAGGAGATGGTCTCTTCTACCTGTGGAGACTGGGGTAAGAGTGTGTGGGAGTGGAAGAGAAAACACTCCAGGCAACAAGAAGGCATTGGAGGTATGAAACAGCCAGGTGTGGTGCATAAAGGCAAAAAAGCTAAGATTGGTTGGATCATGCATTAAAATGGCAGGACTAGGGGGTTAAAGAGAAGAGGCTAGAGAGAGAGAGAGTTGGGAAGAAGGCAGGAAATAGGTTTCTTTAGTGCTTACTGAGTTTGAATTTTATTCATTTCTATGCCATCAAATGCTTTTAATCAGGGAAGCAATATAATCCAAACAAAGAATTTTGATTAAGTCTGTATACAGCAGGGATGGATACTATTTGAAAGGTGTTTGAGTAGTAGACAGGTGGGCAGTTGAGAGACTTTTGCAGTTGTCCTGGCAAGAGATGATGAAGGCCTGGATTAGATGAGGAGCAGTGGGAATGGAAGGTAGTCCCTACAGTCAAACTCAGTGTATTGTTCTACTGTCAACTACCTTGAATACTTCTTGTGGGCAGGAATCATTTCATATTTTCAGTTAATGTCACAGTTCAATTCCAAGCACATGAATCCCCTTTTAAATTTTCCCTTTTTAGTGCATTTACTAAAAAAATTCTGCAAAGGATCTGAGTTGGTATGACTTCAAAGCATACAAATGTTTTTGCGTTTGAACTGCTCTATGGTAGGAAGTGAAATTTAGCCCTGTTTCCTGCCATATCCCCATGTGGGCAGAGTTACTATCATCATTATTTGGTTTTGGAAGCAGTGATTCACAGATGAAAATAACCTTGGAATTCGAAAGAAAAATCGGGAGGAAAATCAGAAGTATTACCAAAATAATTTTTTCTTCTATCAGGACTCTAGCTATTTATGTTTTCATATAAGTAAAACTGAAATATAGTAGCAAGTGTTAAAGCAATTTAAGTGTTTCAAGCTCTTAACTGAGTGTCCTTGAAGCCTATAATGTTTGTGGTAGGTAGTTCCATTGCTGTAAATCTGTGTTGACAGGTGCAAATTTATACTAACAAATTAATAACACAAGTCAGAAAAATAAACCCCAGCTCTGAAAACATTGTATTAGCTATAGAACTAATAATATCAAGAAAAAAAAACAGATCAAATGCTTTCTGACCATTTTGTCTCTTGATTAGACTGAGCTGTTTATAGATGAAATTATAACACTTGGTATTTTCCTCACCTGTGTTTTTCACTTGTGGAATTTATTCATCACATCTGTCATGATTTGTATATCTAGAGAAAAGTTTTAAAGGTGAACTAAAAACTTAAATATACAGCTATGACAAGGCTTCACATTCTGTCTCTGCACTGTGACACTTTAAACCTCCACAAGTTATTTATCATCCAGTTTCCAGTTTCTAGGTTTCTTCTTTAGACCTGTGATAGCTTAGTAAGTGAATATTTTCTTGTTTTACGTCCTCCATACTAGATCTCTTGAATCTCCTTGAAAGAAGGGATTATATCTTGTTCAGCTTCGATCAGTTTTTATTAATAGTAGAATGTTTTGGCATCTAATAGGGTCATTTAATCAATACTGGTTGAATAAGAACAGATGTCCCCTCTTTTAGAAAAGGGAATAGTTGTTTTTGAGGTGAGCAGATGTCCACTCTTTTAGAAAAGGGAATAGTTGTTTTGGGTGAAAAATGTAGGTATGAGTAAACTGAATCGACAGAAATCATTGAGAAAGTGGGAAAATGCCTGGCATGATGTATGATATGTTGAATTTTATGTTTACTGAGTTAGGCAAAAACACCGTTAAAACCATTTTGATGTGGATCTTAAGGTTTTTTGACTTCTGAAGTTCTAGATGAGGAATAATTCTTTTTAAAAAATAATATCACTTAAAATTCGGATTTGTAAGAACAACTGCTTATACTTCTTTCCTAAAAAGAGAAACCCTACAAAACCTTAATTATATATATAGATAGCTATACTCTGATGGTTCACATGCATATCTCACAGGTTATGTTGTTACCTCTATGTCTGGTAGGTAGAGGTGAAACAGCTAGGACACCAATCATCCCCTCGATCAACTGGACTACACTATCTTTTCAGGCTGTCTGGACTACAGTCTCCATCCTCTCCTCCTGCTCCATGTGCAGTCTGCCTGTGCTAGTTTCCTCCTGCTGCGGCAACAAATGATCACAAACACTCTGGCTTAAAACAACACCCACAGTTCTGTATGTCAGAATCTTTGTAGGTTTAATAGGGTTCTCTGCTCAGGGTCTCCCAAGGGCCAGATCAAGGTTTCCGTCAGGCTGGACTCTTTCTGAGAGGTTCTGGGGATGAATCAGTTTCCAAGCCTATTCAGATTGTTGGCAGAATCTTTTTTTTTTTTTTTTTTTTGCAGTGTGGAACTGAGATTCCCATTTCCTTACTGGCTGTCAGCTAGGGTCCACTGTCTGCTACAAGGGCCCCCTGAGTCCCTTCTCATGTGGCCCCCTCCATCTTTCATCCAGCAGTGTTACACTGAATTCTTCCTCTGCTCTGACTCTTTCTGACTTTCCCTTTGCCTTCCTCCCTGTCATAAGCCAGAAAACGTTGTCTGGTTTTAAGGGCTCATGTGATTATATTGTGCCTACCAAGATAAACCAGTATAATCTTCCCATCTTAAAGTCAACTGACAAGTGGCCTTCATTACATCTGCAAAGTCCCTTTTGTCATGTAACAAACATACTCGTGTGTGATATCCTGTAGTCACAGTTTCTGGGGGGTAGGGCAGGGCATTTTTAAGAGGCTGCCTTAGAAATCCGTCTATTGCACCCCCTAAAAAACAAACAAACAAACAACAACAAGAAAAACTTTGCCAGATAGAGGCCAGTCAGTCTTCCGTAGAGGGTATCTATGGCTAACAGTCCATTAGCAAAATGCTGTCACTTTGTGTAATGCCCCTGTGAATTCCTCTTAGGTCTATGTTTCAGAGTAGTTCCTGGAACTGAGACTTTCTATTATATTTTATTAATATCAAAATAAATTACCTAGCTAACAATAAGAGGACTAAAACTTAGGGCACATTTTCTGTGAATATATGAACTTTTTCATGCACAGAAGGTATCAGTTAATTTTATGGTCCCTCAGCTATGTTACTGGTACTTATAACACCATGTGCCATGTAAATACCTTTGAAAATGTCATACCATGGTGTAGCACTGAATAAGAACATGAATGCAGATGACTGTCCAATCCCAGGCAATAGAATTAGGTGGTGGAAATTACCACTTGTGGATAAAGCTTCTTCTTTTTTTTTTTTAATCACAAGCTAGGACAGTTTTCAGGAACAATTCATATTTTATGAAGAGCTGTCACTGAATATCCACCATCATCATCAGCTTCCAGGTGACAGTCAAGAGAAGTTGTTTGACTTTTAGTAACTAATTCAATAAGGAAATTAAAAAAACCCAACAATTGTGATCACATAAGAAGCGCAGAGTAAACACTTGGAATTATACTATCAATACTAAAGTTGCTATATAGAAAAAGATTTGAAAGTATGGCTTAAAAAGTGTGGCATCATGATGGTATGATGGCCAAAAGTGATGATGAAGAATCTTTAGACTTTTGAAATGGAAGGGCATTTCTACTCAAACTGACTTTTTAAATGTAAAACGCATCTTCTAGATTTATTTTTATTATAAGTGAGACAGAGCTAATTTATATATAAAATATCCACACTGCTCTTTATGAATGGTTTTCTGTTCATTTTCACATTAGGAGTTTTATTACTGATCGAACTGATCTTGATACTGAAGAATAAAAGGGTTACTAGTTGTTTAGTATTTATCAGTTAGTTTTAAATTTAATTGTGTATCCATTCCCCCAAAAGGTGTTGTTAAGTTGCTGTGTCTTACAATTGATGGGAACTGAGAAGTGAATAAGAGAACACAGAGCCACACATTAAAAGTGCCTAAAGACAGATACAGGTAGTATCTGTATGAAATATTTGACACAAAGAAATTTATACTATTTTATACATTATACATTCCCCCCCCGCCACTCACCCCATTGTCTGTTTTTCAGGCTTGTTTGTTTTTAGGGTATGTACTTTGGAATGAGAAAGGAATTTTATAACAGTAAAGAAGGCATTATACTGATTTATTAAAATTTAAAAATAAACTGTAAGTGGTATAATATGGATGATTGGATACTGACCTGAGAAGAAATTTCCATATGTAACTTTTAATGACATCGGTATTATGACCATTGGTGAGATACTGTATTCTGCAGACATTTTTCTCTCTCCAACATTGGAGATGATGGAATCTTCTCTACATCTTCCTGCATGAGACTACTTGTAAGAACAAAGGTGGTTGGTGCTTATTTAATGCACCGAGTTCTTTTGTAGGGAACCTTTAAATCACTATTTTGATTTAATTCTGAATCAATTTTATTCTTGAACCGGGAAATCATATTTTAACATGAACTTGCAAATAGTTCAGTGCTTCACTCCCAATTCCTATTTCAGCATCCTTCACCGAAGCACGAAGCAGAATCAAGCTGTTGCCATGAAGCTTGTTTCAAGAGCTCAGAAATACTCCAGGGACTCCTTTACTACTGCTTTTCAAAGAGGCCTTTTTTTCTCTCTTCTCCTTTTCCTGCAAAGAGGGTTATATCCAGTGCTCAAGGACATGGTAAGGCCAACAAGGACTGGAGGAATCTCCAGGACTATGATCTCTTGAATTGTGAAATGTGACATTCTGATTGCTAGCCTGCCTTTCTTCCCACTCCACCAAATTGTAATACTTCTTTTCATGCTACAGTTTTGTAAAACTTTACTGTGTAATAGAAATTGTCTATTCATTTTTAAAGAACTACACTCCCAGAGCAATTGACATTTGTTTTGTTTTAAGTCTTCTGTGTAAAGGTTCATCAAATTCCCATTAAAGTAACATTTTTGGACTATATTATCTGTTCAAAGATCTTAATTGACATAAAAATTTTCTAATTAATGGGCTTCAAAAAGTGTTTTAATCTGTCAGTAAAGTTGACTTTTACTTCAAATATATCATGTTTAAATTTTTTTCCTCTGTAAGGTAGGAGCCAAAGATTAAATATTTTTAAAAAGCTTTAAAAAGCCTGTATTGATATTACTACTACTAATTATAGATAGGGATGTAGGTCCAAAATTAGTACATGGATTTAATGCGTTTTCAGTAAAGTTAGGAATAAAAATAACATCACATATTTCATTTTATTTGAGGTAGCCAAGAATAGCTATTTTCCTTTAGAAACTTCAACAGAAGGAAGCTTTTCAACTTCATAGCATTCTTAGGGAAATATAACTGTCCTGTTTCATAGAGGACATGGAGTAAGAGAAAATATGCTATTTTTTTTAAGGAGGCAAAAGGAGGCAGACTTTGTCAATTATATTTATGTTCATTCCAATAGATCATAAGATTTTCTTCTGAAAAGAATATTAATCTCATTCTACAGGGATTATCAGCCTAAGGCATGAGTACATGCTGTGGAAACAGAAATATGTATGAAGGGATGTATGAAACCACAGAATAAATGGAATCCACATTCTTGAAGTAGCTACAACTCTACTTGAGGGTAAGTAATTAAGTATTTTAAAATGCAAAAAAGTATATATTATGAGGTAGAAACTAAATCTTTATTTTTAGGATAAAACATTTGAATTCAAAGGGACTTTCAGCATGTCGGGAAGCAAGTCTGACACAGGAATAATGTCCTCTGAAGCAAAGGCTTTTTCAGTGGCAAAGCTTAAGAATGCTGATCTGCATGATGGGAAAATTTAGTGTTGGCACAAGAAATTAACTAATATGTTTTTCTGTTGTCTGAAAAGGAAAATAATGCTTGGCTTCAGGTATTTGGAAATACTGCACATTCGGGCTAAGAATGAGATGACCATTTTCTCATTTTCAACTAATTATTTCAAGATACCAAAACAAAACAAACAAATGCCATTGGTGAGTACCTGCTATATACAAAATGAGCTGTATGTAGTGAAGTGGCCAGGAAAGGCAGAGTTCACAGCCATAGGTAGGGCAGGCCCTGGCCACCCTTTAGGGGAGCAAGAAAGGTAAACCAGGTGGATGAAACATATCCTATAGCATATTGTAATTGGTAAGTGGATGCAAGTGGTTTCTTAGCAAGTCAGAGGCATCGGGCTGTCTAAAAGAGGTAAGAAGATTATACTGACAGAGAGGTGGAGCAAACAATGAGGTGTCTGGGAGGAAGCATTTGAAGAGCTGCAAGGAGGTCTGATTTATGGTAGAAAAACTGAGTCCCCAGGAACTGGGGAAGTGACTGGCAAGAAGAGGACAGGGCTTCTAGTCTAGAGGAATCAAGGCATAGGACATATTGCTTACCTAGAGATTCAGTCAGGGGTATGGGATCCAGCCTGGGTATAGTTTTTGGAAGGCTGCTTACTTGATTGGGTTGGAGTGGGACTAACAGCAAGTGTGATTTGATGCTGACCCTTCAGTACTGGCCTGCGTAGCTTACAACAGTTACCCTGTCTAAGAAGGAGATTGATTCCAGAACCCAGAATAAAGCAGAGAATGCAGATGGTGGTCACATGGGTTCAGGTAAGGAGTAAGGAAAGTCACTGGCCCTTCTCCAAGTGCTGTGCAGGTGCAAAAGTTATTTAATTTTCTGTTTCTCTCTTGAATGAATATGCTACCTATTTGGTGGTATAACACGTAAACTCATTCATATTAAATGTCAATACATGCTTTAATGTTTTAATCAATAAATGTACTAAATAATTTAAATTTACAAGGGATTTTGGAAACAGATCCAACTTTAAGCATGGCAGGAAATTGATATTTGGACAAGGAATGTTAGCACATTCTTAGATCATACTCAGATTTAAGGTAAGACTACTCTATTTTTCAAACCAATCTAGGTATATAAAACCAAATCTAGTTAGAATGAGAATACTAAATTAAACATAAGTTTGTTATTCAGATATTCCATGTAGAACTGTGGGATGAAGTGCAATCAGCTGTGACTGGTTGGAATAAGGACCTGCCTTATCCCATGGAGAGTTAGAGAATCTGTTCCAACAAGGACAGAAGGTCCAGGTGGGAAGAGCTCTGGAAAACAAAACTCTCTGACAGCGCTCTTGAAAGCTCTGCTGGCAGTAAGTATGTACTTGCTTATGATAGATTCGAGCTTAGTGTGGGAATCAGGATCTGAACACAACTCACCCCCTTCCCTGTCCCATTCAGTTGACGCTCTTGGGGTGTAGCATGCTGCTTGCTGCACATGAGTCTGTGTTTTGCTCATGCCTGGCAATAGCTGCTTGGAGCCTCACCTCTGGAAGCTGATGATTTCAAGTATCCAGACCTGTCATGATGCTGTCCAGGAGGGGGGTTAGGCTGTCATCATCTATTAGACAGCCCCCAGCTGACACACACAAGGCCAGTTACTGAGTGCCCTTTTCTCTCAAGCTTTTGATTTGCATCTTTGGGTAGGAATTGGGATAAGACACACATTCAGAATCCAAATTGAGGCATTCAGTTGCTCTCCTATGCTTGGTTTAATTTGTTTATTCATTATCTTGTAGTTTGGGCAGAATTTGCAAAGATTTTACAATTTCATGAACTTGCATGGAACCATTGCTTTCTTCAGAATGACTTTTCCATGGGTCATAAAAACTGAATGGCTGGGCACTGTGTCCTCATATTCATTGACAAGAAATTTAAGTAAACTGGATGAAGCTAATCTTTCTTACTTGGGACCCAGTTTGAGTCTTCAGCAGAAGAATATAAGGCCTGCCTCTGAAGTGCTCCTCTTGCCATAAATCGGGTACATGACCATACCTTTACGAGAAACTAAGACAGATCCTGACCTTTACATCATGGAGTTTTGGAGTTTTACCTAAATCACTTCTTGCTGTTACTCTGCTGTTGACTTTTTGTCACTATTGTAATAACTAGGCTTCAATCTTGTGGAAAATTTTGACAAAATGATTTTTGTCTTCTGCTCTTCTGGGTGCTCCTATCTTTTTTTTTTTTTTTTGTCCATATACTCACTCTCCCAGCACTGGGGCCCAGGAGTATTTATAGGTGTCACTTACCCACTTTGCCTTCTTCAGTAACTGCATCCCATGCCTTCCCCACTTGCAGGGATGGAACACATGACCCAGTTCTGTCATTCATGTTTCACAAGCCCTTGTCATTGGTTTAAGGCTAGGCATGTGACACAGGCAGGTTCTATCAGAGTCAGAAGGAGAGCACTTTTGTAGGATCTACCAAGAAACCCGTGCTTTAGTTTATGCAGGCTAAGATAGAAGAAGCTGCATGATCTAGAGCTTCAGCAACCATTTCTGTGACATTGAAGGTAACTGTTAAAAAATGAAGCCAATATACAGAGGAGAGTAGAGCCAAGCAGAGGAGGACAGATGGAGAATATTTGGTAACATCATTTGGGTCCTTTCATGCAGCCATGTCTTAAGCCAACTCCGAGCCAGTTTATTTTCTACTTTGCTTAAACAAATTTGCATTGAATTTTATGTATCTTCAATTTTGCAAAAGGCTTAACTAATGCACCCTGCCAGTGATTAGAGTCTTGGCTGAGAGTTTCAAAAAAACATGGCTGGGCTTGGCTACTTGCTGACAGCCTGCTTGATACCACCTGTGGCCTGGTTCTCTGACCATCCCCACCTTCATATTTTCTGTGCTGGGTTTATCCCTATTGAGACATCCTGATATTTCATATTCAACCCTGATGCTCTTTTGCAATCTGGATAAAATTCCAAGACATAGTAACTATGTTGCCCCCCAAGAGTATTTTAAAAAGGCTTAATGACTCAACCAATAAATTGTCTCTTTAATAACTCAAAGAAGTTTCAAGGATTTTCACGTAACTAACCCTGGGATACATAAATGTATTAAGGTCAGTGGCTCATTAGTTTTTCCTTTTCTATTGTGGATGTTGTTTTATCATTTTACCTTCTTTGATAGTGGCCTTTATGACATTCTACTTGGCTGGCAGGCAACACAGTAACTGCTTTTAAATATAAGAGATGCTGAAAGGGATTTCTGTAATAGATTTTATTATAATGGGATCAGAATGGCAGGCAGGGCCGAGAAGAAGTTAAAGGCAAGGCAGCCACATTGTTCTTATTGCCTATAGGTAAGCATTTCGTGGTTTTCTGAGAAACTAAAGATGACCTGAGAAGTAGGACTTAAAGAAAGCATATTGAGCTCAGTAAACTCTTAAGACTCTGGTGATAAGATGAGCAAAGACAGGCCTAAGGATATTCTCCTATAGACCATGGACTTTGTGAGAATGGGTGTTGGTTCTGGGAGTTGAGCCGAGATTCAATCTATGTACCGGACTGAAGGACAACTTTAAACCTTATAGGAATACTAAAAATGCCCTGTAGGGGCAGTTTCCATTCTACTCCATGTGTTAAAAGTGCCTCTTTTAATCCTAGTTAGACTGTTTTAATTGGAATGATCTTTCCTCAAATTCTTCCTCTTTATGGTTTTTTTTTCGATCCTGAGTGCATAAAGAGTCTTCATGGGTTAAAACAAAACAAAACAAAACTCCTTACAGTGAATTGAGAAGCAACTGAAGTCTTCTTCATTCCCTGACCTCTTTCCTGATTGCTTCCACCTCTTTCTCTTGCCCTATACCAAGGTCTTCTCTGCTTTTTGATTCTGATCCATTATGTAAAACATTTCAGCCCCAGTGATAACAAAGCTAGGAAAGAAGCTTGCAATATGAGGGGCAGAGGGGTTCCTGGGTAAGTGGGGTGGCAAGGGCTTGATATTCTTAATGGAGAAAGTCTTAATAGACAATATGAAATATAAAGAGTTTTGAGAAAAGGATGGTCATTGTGATTTGAATAGAGAAAATAAGAAGGATTTTTTGAATGTTTGCGTTTTGGAATATTTGCATATATATACATAGAATGGATATCTGTGGTTGAGTCCCAAGTCTAAACACAAAATTCATTTATGTTTCATATATATCTTATACACAAAGCCTGAAGGTAATTTTATTCAATATTTTAAATAATTTTGTGCATTTATCACATGAGGTCAGGTGTTGACTTTTCTACTTGTGGCATCATGTTGGCACTCAAAACATTTTGGATTTAGGAGTATTTCAGATTTTGAAGCATTTCAGATATAGGATTTCAAATTAGGGATGCTCAACCTGTACTAGGAAGATGGGCCAGGTAGAGACGAGAGTCTACCTTTGTTTAGTCTAGCTAAAGATTTGTCAATTTTGTTTATCTTTAAAAAAAAATACAACTTTTTTGTTGATATGCTAGATTGTGTTTTTTAGTCTCAGTTTTGTTCTTTTGAAAAGATAAACAAAATTGACAAACCTTTAGCTAGATTAATTAAAAAAAGAGAGATTACCCAAATAAGTAAAATCAGAGAAGAAAAAGGAAACATAATAACTCAGACCACAGAAATACAAAGAACCATTAGAGACTATTATGAAGAACTGTACACCCACAGACTGGAAAACCTGGAAGAAATGGGTAAATTCTGGTAAACATACAGCTTACTAAGATTGAAACATAAAGGAGTAGAAAACTTCAGCAACAGTAACAACAAAAAAATAAGCAACAAGATCAAAACCATAACAAAAAAAACTCCCATCAAAGAAAAGCCTAGGATCCGATGGCTTCACTGATGAATTCTATCAAGCATTTAAAGAACTAATACCAATTCTACTCAACTCTTCCAAAAAATTGAAGAGGACGGAATATTTCCAAAATCATTCTACAAGGTGAGCATTACCCTGATACCAAAACCAGACACAGATGCAACAAAAAAAGAAAACTACAGGTCAGTATCATTGATGAACACAGATGCACAAATCCTCAACAAAATACTAGCAATCCAAATCCAGCAACACATTTGATAATGTTTGGACATGTGTTCCCCCCAAATCTCATGGTGAAATGTGACCTCTATTGTTGGAGGCGGGGTATAGTGGGAGGTATTGATCATAGGGTGGATTCTTCCTGAATGGCTTAGTGCCCTCACTCTGGTGAGGAGTAAGTTCTTGCTCAGTTAGTTCTCTCAATATCTGGTTGTTAAAAACAGTCAGGGATCTCCCACTTTTCTCTCTCACTCCCACTCTTGCCATGTGAGGCACCTGCTCCCTCTTTGCCTTCCACCATGACCGGAAGCTTCCTGAGGCCCTCACCAGGAGCAGATGCCAGTGCCATACTTCCTGTACAGCCGGCAGAACCATAATCCAATTAATCTTTTACCTTATAAATGACCCAGCTTTAGGTATTTCTTTATTGCAATGCAACAAAACAAAACAAAGAAACAGACTGATACAACATTAAAAACATCATTCACGATGATCAAGTGGTATTCAGCCCAGAAATACAAGAATAATTCAACATATGCAAATCAATAACTGTAACACATTACATTAACAGAACCAAAAACAAAAACCATATGATCATTTCAATAGATGCTAAAAAGCATTTGATAAATTTCAACATCGCCTTATGAACAAAAATCCTCAACAAACTAGGTATAGAAAAAACGTACCTCAGAATAATAAAGACCACATGTGACAAACCCACAGCTAACATAGTACCAAAAAGGGGAAAATGGAAAGCTTTTCCTCTAAGTTCTGGAGTGAGATAAGCATGCCCACTTGCACCACTTTTATTCAATGTAATACCCGAAGTCCTAACCAGAGCAATTAGGAAATAGAAAGAAATAAAGGGCATCCAAATTGTAAAGAAGGAAGTCAAATTAATATTGTTAAAATGACAATACAAACCAAAGCAACTTACAGAGTCAATGCAATCCCTATCAAAATACTAATGACATCCTTCATAGAAATAGGAAAAACAAAAGAATTATATGGAACCACAAAAGACCCTGAATAGTTAAGGCAATCTTGAGCAAAAACAGTAAAGTGGAGGCATCATACTACCTGACTTCAAAATATAATACTAAGCTATAGTAACCAAATCAGCCTGGTACTGGCATAAAAACAGACACACAGACCAGACCAATGGAATAGATTAGAAAACCCAGATACAAATCCATACATTTATAGCCAACTCAATTTCAAGATGCCAAGAACATACAATAGGGCCAAAGGACAGGCTATTCAATAAATGGTGCTGGGAAATCTGGCTAACCATATACAGAAGAGTGAGTCTGGACCCCTAGCTCTCAGAATATATAAAAATCAAATCAAAATGCATTAAAGACTTAAATTTAAGACCCCAAACAATGAAACTACTAGGAGAAAACACTGAAGAAATGCTCCAGTGCATTAACGTGGGCAGATTTTTTTGGAGTAAGACCTCAAAAGCCCAGACAACTAACCAAAGCAAAAATAGACAAATGGGATTATGTCAAGCTGAAAAGCTTCTGCACAGCAAAGGAATCAATCAACAAAGTGAAGAGACAGTCCACAGGAGGGAGAAAATATTTGCAAACTACCCATGTGACAAGAGATTAATAACCAGAATATATAAGGAGTTAAAACAACTCAACAGAAGAAAACAAAGAATCCTATTTGAAAGTAGTCAAAAATATCTGAACAGATATTTTTATTTATTTATTTATTTATTTTTGAGAAGGAGTCTTGCTCTGTCACCCAGGCTGGAGTGCAGCGGCACGATCTTGGCTCACTGCAACCTCTCTCTCCTGGGTTCAATCGATTCTCCTGCCTCAGCCTCCCAAGTAGGTGGGATTACAGGTGGGTGCCACCAAGCCTGACTAATTTTTGTATTTTTAGTAGAATCAAGGTTTCACCATGTTGGCCAGGCTGGTCTCGAACTCCTGACCTCAAGTGATCTGCTCACCTCGGTCTCCCAAAATGCTAGGGTTACAGGCCACCACTGTGTCCGGCCAGAAGAGACATTTTTAAAAAGAAGAATTTCAAATGACAAACAAGTATATGAAAAAATGCTCCATATCACTAATCATCAGAGAAATGCAAATCAAAACTACAATGAGATATCATCTCGCCCCAGTTAAAATGGCTTTTATCCAAAAGACAGGCTGTGGAGAAAGGGGAACCCTTATACACTATTGATAAAAGTGTAAATTAGCACAGCCACTATGAAATGGGGGTTTTCCAGAAAAGTAAAAATTGAACTACTATATGATCCAGCAATTTCATCACTGGGTACATATTCAAAGGAAAGGAAATCAATATATTGAAGCACTATCTGTACTCTCATGTTTATGGTAGTCAAAACATGGAGGCAACCTAAGTGTCAATCAATGGATGAATGGGTAAAAAAAAATGTGGTTTATATGTATATACAATGGAATATTATTCAGCCATAAAAAGAATAAAATCCTGTAATTTGCAGCAGCAGCATGGACGGAACTGAAGGTCATTATGTTAAGTGAAATAAGCCAAACACAGAAAGACAAATATCAGATGTTCTCACTCACATGTGGGAGCTAAAAGAGTGATTTCATGAAGATTAAGAGTAGATTGGTGATTACCAGAGGATGGGAAGGGTGCGGGGAGGGGAGAGGAAAAAGAGAGTTTGATTAATGGGTACAATTATACGGTTTGGTAGAAGAAATAAAACTTAGTGTTTGATAGATCTGTAGAGTGACAATAGTTTACAACCATCTATTATGTATTTCAAAATATCTAGAAGAAAATAATTCAACTGTTTCTAGCATAAAGATAAATTTTAAGGTAATGGATATCTTAGTTTTACTGAATTGATCTTTATATATATTACATGAGTGTATTAAATTATCACAGGTACCCTGAAAATATCTACATCTATTATGTATCAATTAAAAAATTAAAGTAAAAAAAGAGCATCTGAGAAGTGTAGTTTTTCAGCTTCTTGCCTTGACACCCAAAATAAAGTCAGAGTTTTGTAACTAAGCAAGCAGGAGTGAATGGTTCATGGAGAGTCATTTTTAGTCTCTGTTATGACAATCTTTAAAACCCATGACTGCTCTTCAGGAGATGAACTAAGTTGTTAGGTTTATAAAGAATGTAAATGTTCTTATTTTCAATGTATGAATTGGTTATGGAGAGGCTTAGAAAGAATATTCTAAGATATCCTTTCTTCTACTAAGATACTCTTTATTCTTTTCTAAGATATTCTTTATTTTATTCTTTCTGACTATAACAACCTAGGTATAAAAGAATGAAAATTGTAATTTCTGAGAAAGGGTTTATATCATTTGCTTAATATGTATATATTCTATGTTTAATATTATAATATATAATATTCCTCTGGGTGTATAATGGGTGAATGGATATTGGAAAAGCACCTAATATCTCTACTACAGAAGTATAAATTATATTTGTTTTTATTTAAATATAAAGGACTCTAATGGTTCTATGGTTGTATTATATATTATAATATATATTATAAATTATAATTATTAATTATAATATATTGTATATTATTATATATTATTATATAATATACATATATTATATGTATGTATATTATTATATATTATTATATAATATACATATATTATATGTATGTATATTATTATATATTATTATATAATATACATATATGTATGTATATTATATATTATATTATATATATAATATATATACATTATAATATATAATGTAATATATAATGTATCATATATTATAATATATTATATATAATGTATCATATATTATAATATATTATATATTATGTATCATATATTATAACATATTATATATTATGTATTATATATCATAATAATATATATTATTACATATTATATAACATATAATAATATATATAATATAAATTATATATATAATATATAGTATATGATATATTACATATAATGTATCATATATTACATATAATATATAACATATGATATATTATATAAAATATATAATATATAATGTATAATATATTATATAAGATATATAATATATAAAAATATATTTAATAATATATAATTACATATTATACATAATATAATTATACATAATATGTAATAAATTAATAATATATTCAATATTATTCATATATACATAATAGATAATATATTACTAATATAATATATGATATAGTATGTAATAATATATAATATATAATACAATTATAATATATGATTAATTATAATATATGTAATATGTATTATATTATATATTATAAATATATAAACTTATAAAGTATATTTATAAATATATATTATATAAAATACATAATATACATCATATAATATGTATATATTTTATATAATCATATTTATATAAATATGATTAAATAAATATGATTATATAAATAGAATTATAATATGGAAAACATATATGATATATAAATATATAAGCTTATATATCATTTGCAAGTATGGAGAAAAGTAAAAACAAGATTTTAAAGTTTTGGGGGTTTAGCTATGATGTCAATTGTCAAACGGAATTTAGAAAGGTTTGAGTAGCTCAAAGAAAGAAATGAATTTAATTAATACTGAAAAATTTGAGATAGACTTCAAATATATGCTTATGGTCCTGAACTAAGATAGGGAGGAAGCCAGAAATATAGTAAATTATAAGCTACATTTAGAAGTAAAACCAGAGCATTTTTTTGCTAGAGTTGGCCATCTGATTAAGAAGTAAGTCCTATAAAATAAATGAATAAAGGGGAATACTTATAATACAATAGGGTATGTTGGGGATTGTAAGAAACAGGAGAATATAGGCCTTTCCTAAAGGGGCAGCTGCTGCTTGGCTGCAGTCAATTATTGCCATCAAATAAATCAGGCTTGGATATTCTACTTTTGTAAGACAGAAATCTAGAGTTTTACATAATCTTCCAGATTTTTAAATCATTATGCAGGCCAAGCAAATATGTCTGCATGTTGGATTTGTCCAGTGGACAACCAGTTTCCAGCTCTTGATCTAGTTCAAGATCTTTATTTACTAAAACTGTGAGAAATATAGTGACGTGTTCCCGACCACATAGTTCATCAGTGACAGAGCTGGGACAAGAACCCTACCCCTTCACTTTCAGTTATCTCCCTACTGCACCACATCTGAATTGTTTTTTGATAGAGCCTAGAATATTATGCGGAACTGTTTGGTGGAAAGGAATAATCAATGAAATTAGGCATATTATATTTGCGGTTAACTTCAAAAATGCCTAGCACAGAGTTTAGCATTCAGAAGGTATCAATCAATGTTAGCTCAATCTCTATCAGAATTGTTAAACTCATATAAGGCAATGAATAAAATAGAAGGAAAGGTAAAGAAGAAAAAGAGTCATTATCAAGCCTTGGGGAGCCACATAATTAACAGTGGAATCAAGATAATGAATTAGCAAAGACAGCATCCAAGGAGCAGTCAGAAGCAGCCAGGATTGCTTTGTGAATCTCTCCTTTACCTTTGCCCTAATTACAGCTCTAGGCTGTAAATGTTTTAATTTGAGGATAATTGCTAGCCCTTTAATAAACTTTTTTTTTTTTCTAATTATACTGCTGCCTTAAACTTACAGCCTTATAAGAAAGTGTGGTCTTCAGAGAACTTTTTCTTCTTCCATTAATAAAAATTAGATAGATTGATTAATTTTGACTTAAATTTCTAAAACTGTTCAGTTATATCTTGAGATTATCCCACCATTAGTGGTTAAGTGTCTCCATTATAAGTAATTATTGTCATTAAAACAGTTTAACAAGAATAAATGTCCTTTGAAAATCCCCTTTTTGGTACGCTTGTGGCCCTGTATGTCAGAAAGATTCTCTGGATTATCCCAGTACCATAGATCACAAGGTAATTTTTGAAGTGACCAATTCTGTTTTTCCTGTTTTAAAGAGATTAGGCTTTTATTACCATCTCTGATGTAGGTTTTAGTGTGCATAGTGCATTTCTGAGACACTGTTTAAAGTTCTGAGGAGAGAAGTCCCTGGCAACGTAAATTTTTGATTTAATGCTCACGTTAGAATATTGACTAGTGAACATAATGGAAGGACCTTAGGGATCTGGTGGATTCCCTAGGTAATTTGTCTCAGAACTAATTGCCTTTGCAGTGGATTTTGCTTACAGAAGTAATAACCTATATTTATAACTTGTTCTCCTGGTAATTATCTCAGCAGAACTGAAACACCTACAAGGTTAATGATGCGAAGTTAAGGTCACCAACTGGTAATTCTTAAATATTTGATTGGATTTATCTTTATATAAAATAGCCCAACTGAATGGTGAAGAGAGCTAGAATATGGTCATGAGAAGAAGAAAAAAAAGTCTGTTTTTTTATCTGTTTAACCATGCCCTTATGCCTTTTTTCTTTTCTTTTTAGTCCCAAGGCACGTAGATAGTACCTATACATCTCATCAGGAACATGGATGGTTCTCTGCTATCAGCTGAAGTGCTGTGACCACAAAACTGAAAATTCCCATTCTGTGTCCTTGCCAATAAAGAATGTCCATCAGAGCACGCCCAGTATCCTAGCTCCTTATCCAGACTGTGCTTCTCAGTAAGTACACAGAGCCTGATTTTAATGTCTTCACTCAGCCCTGGTTTCCACCATTTTCAGTGAAAGAAAAATTCTAATGAAAGGCTAATAAATGATGTGCAAATGGCTAATATTCTTGCAATTTGCATTGGTTGTCTTTTGGACTCTGTTGAGATTATTTTGGGTAGACTGAACATAGCTCTGTACTGCAAGTCGGGGACAGAAGAGAGAAATATATGACCCCACTACCTAGATGGGAGTTTCTGGCATTGCAGGGGCAAATATTTCGAAGATCAAAGTTATCCTTGATCACAGATTTTTGAAAACAAGTCCAGAGCTCTCAGAGTGGACCAACCCCCACCCACTGCCCTGCCAAACAAAAACAAGATCATTTTCTCTCTCCTCTGGGTCCTAAGAAATGAGATATCTATTTGGGATGCTGCAGGAAATATTCCAGGTTCTAAACATTTTTGGGGTCAGAGTCCCATTTGATAATCTGATAAAAATTATGAACATTTTCATCAGAAGAAATATCCATAAAGACACATACACAGAATTTTGAAAACATGTAGGTTTTCTTACAAAAACATGAGTGTTCCCTAAATATTATCTAGATTGTTTAGGGATCCTGGACTCAGGTTAAGAATCCCTGGGACTCTCAGGATAATTACGGAAATTTGCCTTGGACTTCTATGTAATTCATGTTCCCCAACTACACCTACCTAATCTTATATATGGACGTTAACAATATTAATGGTAATAACCTGTACTATGTGGCTTTTGTGTCATTCTGCCAATTCAGGAGTTCTATCTCCTGTGAAGTCCTTTCTCTTACCCAACTGGTTACATCTAAAGTCCTCAAGATGTTTCAGTTGTGTTTATGAACATGGCCAGACAGTGGTCACATACTGACCTCTGGGTACTGATGCCCCCTCTGCTGGATATCTCTAATTCCCCTGTGTACTGCCGACTCTGTCAGGAATCCATACCCAGCCTGCACGTCTTTGCCACTTCTGCTGGGGCCTGTGGTGTTCTCCGTTTGCTGATGTGTTGGAGTTTTGGGGGCCAAGGCTGTGTTTCCATAATTTCAACAATTCCAGGAACAATTTTGGAGAAAATGCTTTTCTCCTCTCTGTGGAACTGTTATCACAAAGAAATAATTAAAATTATTTATCTTTATATAAAAGAAACCATCTAATAAAAAATTAGCCAGTTTCTTATGAGTTCTGATTTGAATGCTTTTAGCAAGACAGGACTTTTGACTTTTATTTCCAATTTCTCCCTCCTTGCCATAGACCCTTGCTGCTGGACTGAAGGGCAAACCCAAGGGACCTCAGATTGCACTCAGAATCCTCAATCTTCTCCCATGGCTGAAGTTTGTCTCTGGCACAATGGTGTTTGCCTGACTCACACTCCCTTTGGGAGCTCCTCATGCAAATACTGTTCCAGAAGATCTGCACATCAATTTATTGAGACACTCAGAATTGCTGCCCATCAAAGAATGGACTCTGCATAGGTTTAGATTAGGAAACTCAGAAACATCAATACTTAAGCATAATTAGACAACAGTTGGAGCTTAGGCAGACTATTTTGAGGGGATCTTTTGCAGAACTCTTCCAGATCTCTGTGGTGTCCCTCCAAAGACAAACTCTTTATAATTCTACTCTGTCCCACATCGAAGCCAGTGCAGTATTGAAAAATGGCATTAAGAAAACTTTAGGCTTTTACTGGAAACAAGCACCTTCTTTATTGTAAATAACTCCATATAGACCTGTAATAAGTTAGAATCAGAATGATCTTTCTGTCATGATTCCATTTTTTATACAACTCATGTGCCTCAAACTCCACAGGAGTCAATAATTTATGACTCTGAAATAATACTGAATTTCAAAGCTTAGTATGCAGTGTATGGAAAAAATGCCTCACCATTTTTCTTGCTGTCATTTGAAGGCACAGTAGCAGATGCATCACAACATTGGAGATACATTCTGAAAATGCCAATATCTCCATCAGTTATAGATTTGTCATAATTAATGCTGACGGCTCCTGCTGTACCATTGTATTCTTCATTCACACCATTAGTCCTCTCTTTGACATGCTGGACTGTGTTCAGCCATCTTGGTGTGGCTCTCTCCCCATGGTTCTACATGCCCTCTCCTTCAACTTTCTCCCATGTCCACTGACTAGTCCTCAGACCAAGCAGGGAATTTCCAGACCAGTCCCTTTGTCTCATGAACTTTCTTTCTCTTTGCTTCTTCTCCCCCTCCATGACAATTACATTTTCTCTCATAAACAGACATGATAATGTTGAAGATATATAACATTTTGAGGGAGTTTTAGAATACTAATTTTTGGGGTCAACTTGGATGTGAAGATAAAGTGAAAACTATGCCTTTCCTGCAGTTGATATAATTTTCTCATGAGGCTTGTCCCCTTTAGGTATATGTGTAGGGTGGGGTCAATGTTGGTGGAAGAGGGGAATTCTGAAGTGCCAAAAAAGTATTTGTCTCCTTAATGATCTCTTTTGTATGTTATTCTCTTACAGGTAAAAGCTCCATTTTCAGATTTTTGCTCCCTCCTCCAGCTCCTTTCTAAGATGGCATGTTGCTATATGTAGGAGGAGGGTCTTCTGTCATTTCATATCATTGGGACAGGGGACTGCATTGTCTGCCAGGTATCCTCTGGATCCTCCCTGTTCTGATAGGCCTGTTGTACACTGAAGTGCCTCTCATACCACCTGGAGTTCTAGAAATAGGTGTTGTCACTGATTGCTGAAATCTGCGATCTGGTCATTTTCTTTTGATTAAGAAATCCTGCCTACTTCAGCATGTCCTGACTCCATGTCTCTGCCAATCCAGCAGGTCTCTGAGTGCCTGGGCATGCTGTCCGCCAGATATGCAGAACTCCATGATCCCTTGAAGCCATGTGAAGGTGGAGGAAAGCCGGGAGCAGAACCTCAGGCTCATCTATTTTTTCATCCCTCTCTGCCAGGGCACCTTACTCCTGTGCCATGCTGGATGTGGCACCAGTCACATGCCAGGCTGCTCCTAGAAGCTTGCAGGTTTTCTTGGGCCTCCCAAAGGAGGCCAACCACTGCCTGAGTGTCCTTGTGTTCCCCCCACCCCACCATCACCTCTGTCTTCTAGGGTTTTCACCTTCAGTTGGGAAGTAGGTCACATGCCTCTGGCTGTGTTTTCCTGCTTGGCTTCTCCTTCCCTGTTTTCTTCCTGCCACAGAGGGTTTCTTTTATTTTCTCTCCCAGTCTGGAAGGAATTTTCTCTGGGGTGATAATGGCAGACAGGCTTCCAGATATCATGATTCAAGGTGGTAGAGAATGGGGAGAGACAAAGAAAAACCCTATTATTTAAAAATTTTCAAAATAGCACCCCTGAAAATAAAATTATATAACTGAAACTCGTGTTCCCCAAACCACTTATCATCCTTGAAGAAAAATGGGGATCATATGAATAGTAATAAGTACTCTTGTTCTGGCTCTCATCTTCATCTTTGATTTGGGGCCTCTAACCCCACTCAAAGTTTTCTGCGTTTATTTCTATGATTCTTCCTCACATATCCCTCTAAACAATGTGAGCATGTGGCCAACCCACTTCCTTATCTTTTGCTACCTGAAAAGCCCTGTACATCCCTTCATGTGGATGCAGGTGATTTGGGTGATGATGCTCTTGTCAAGGATACTGCCTCCAGTCACTTGAGAATAGGCTGCCAGGCCAGGAACGGTGGCTCATGCCTGTAATCCCAGTACTTTGGGAAGCCAAGGCAGGCAGATCGACTGAGGTCATGAGTTGGAGGCCAGCCTGGCCAACATGGTGAAACCCCATTTCTACTAAAAGAGCAAACATTAGCTGGGCATGGTGGCAGGTTCCTATAATCCCAGCTACTCAGGAGGCTGAGGCAAGAGAATGGCTTGAACCCAGGAGATGGAGGTTGCAGTGAGCCGAGATCATGCCACTGTACTCCAGTTTAAGTGACAGAGCGAGACTTTGTCTTAAAAAAGAAAAAGAAAAGAAAGAAAAAAAGAGAACAGGTTGCCCTCTGCTGCTCTGGAAATGCTTGGTGCTGGGTCCCTGGGGAACCTGACTGCTGTAGTTGTGCTGCCACTGCTAATGGGGAGGGCCATGCCTTCT
Organism: Homo sapiens; assembly: GCF_000001405.40. Classification (NCBI taxonomy): domain Eukaryota; kingdom Metazoa; phylum Chordata; class Mammalia; order Primates; family Hominidae; genus Homo; species Homo sapiens. Next base: position 118,506,763 of record NC_000005.10, on the reverse strand, counting down.
CTTGTGGCCGCTTCTTAGCTGTCATGGCTGCACTTATGATGTGCAGGGCCCTGCCCGCACTGGGCTATCAGGAAGTGGCAAGGAGGTCTTTCTCCCTAGTGTACTAGTCATATTCTCATAAAGTCTCTTGGGAATTTTTGAGTGTAAAAAGCTTATTTTGTATTAACTTGCCACTCTTTCAGTTCCATTTTTGGGCTACAGTAGAGGGCAAACACAATTTTGTTATGCTAAAAATGTAAGCTTGTTGTTCCTCTTTCAGTGACTGGGGTGTTGCTATTGGGTTAAGCCTGCGACCCATGCTTTCTCTTCCAGGATACATTTTTGTGTGCATTTGGTCTTGGGAGTGCCCTTTATTCCTTATGCAAATGTGTAATTTGCAGGCCCTTCCAGCCGACTTTTCAGACACTGTCACAGTGGTGGTAAAATTTATGCTTAATATGAGGCTCCTACTTCCACATATAATTTAAATAATTTAAAGATTTACAGTTTTTTATTTAATTCTGTAAATGAACCAAGTAATGTCTTGTAAATCTTCTGGTCTCTTGTTTCTTGGGTTGCCAAATGGTTTCTGCAAATTATAGAAACCCTTGAAATGTTTGAACCCTTTTATTGCTCCCGCATTCAATAATAATGAAAGTGGTTGGATATAAATAGTATCTTTTGTGGAAGAGTCTCTTTTAGGTAAATGCTTGTCTTTCAGATTTTTTACCTTCCTTTATATGACTTTTGTATGACTTTTCAAAAAGTTTTTTGCTTTCATATTAGAGAAATGTGAATTAAATATGAACCACCCTCCTTCCTATTTAGGATCCTAAAGGATCTTTTGAGAGATTGTGCCATCTATCCTGGTTGACTTGCACAGAGCCATTCTCAGCTAATGTGTGGGCTCCTGGCCATAAAAGCAGAAACAAGTAAGAGTCAAGTATTCCTTTAGCAAAATGATGCCTGTTATTTCTCAAGATTCTAAAGAAGTTGCTTTAAAATGATCTAGATATGAGGAGTATATTGTCTTCATGTGAGACGAGTACATTGAGCATCCCTAGAATAATTAATTAATTAATAATTAATTAATTTCTACTTGGATAAGATGTGCTTGCCCTTAGGGAAAAAATAAGAACAAGCAAGGACTATTTATTTAGAGCTTATAAGATGTGCTTGCCCTTAGTTAGGGAAAAAATAAGAACAAGCAAGGACTATTTATTTAGAGCTTTCTGTAACTAGGGAGTCACCCACCATCACTTGCATCTTGGCAGAGAAACAAAAGGCAGCAGAAGAGTGGGAAAGTTTTATAGAAGAAAAAAAAAGAGAAGGACTCAGGTATTCCCTGACTGAAGGTTGTTGGGAGGGAAGCTGTAGGCAGGTAACTAGAAGTGGAGATCGTATGTAATTGGTTGGGGGTGCCTATTTGGCTTTCTCTGGTTGATTCTAAGTTGGAATCAAGAACAAAAATTAGGGAAGCAGTCAGTTTTTAATCAAGTTCTGGGCTATTACTGGGGTTATTGTTTGGCTTCCTGAATTGGCTGCTAGAGATAGTGGTTTGATTTTCTACAAGTCTGACTTATAGTTGGTTGACTTCCTGGCTGGTTACTATAGATAATGGATTAGTTTCCTGAGCTGATTTTTGCAGATTGCAGGTGAGTGTTCTATTTTATATGTGGTCTGGCCATTTTTGTTTTTGTATTCAGTTTCCATTCCATTAGTGGGCATCAAACAAAATCAGACTACATACTGATTCCTTTTACACATTTACAGTACCAGAGCTCATCCATCTTCTTTGGAGCCAGCAAAAGCTTCAAGCAGAATAAAATCTACATGAACTTCCAACTGAGGTTGAAGCCATCAGAATTTGCAAGAAACAATTAGGAATCGAGTGCTGATATTACTCAAATGAAGCAGGGTAGGGTTTCCTGGAGGAAGGAGGTAGGATGCTTATCAGGAGACAGTTGCTCATAGATAGGCTGAGAGAAGATTATGTGGAAGAGGTGGGGAGAAGAGGGAGTCAGTGAAGGAAGAAGCATACAGAGGGGGAATTCTCCCAAGTCTTAAATCCTAACCGTCTGGATCCTCCTTGAGTTGCTGTGAGAAAATGGGATAGGAATAGAGCTGCAACTCCCAATCTTCTCCCTCCTATTTGCTTTGTGCTAGTTTAATGCCTCAATACAAGAACTGATCATCCCTGCATTTCAGCGTGGGTTCTAAGAGGATGGCTACAGTGATTCTCAAGAAGAAAAATGTCCTGATCAGCTGGTTGAGCCCGGATAAGGAAGGATTGAGGGCTTTCCATAGTTCTTCAACTAATGAAGACTATTAGATGGAAAAGTCTACAGGAAAGCAGGCATCTTTGCTGAGCAGGAGACAGGCTCCTTGCCAAAGCAAGGAGAAACCAGACCATGTGGGCAATATTAAGACCACCCTCTAAAACAGGCCAAACCAATAAATTAACAGCCCCAATTAAAGCTAGTCTAAAGATCAAACTTTCCCCATATTGTGATTCAGTACTTATTGGAGCATAGATTACCCACACACATTGATGATTTCTCAACTCTAACTTTGATAGAGGACTTGAAACAAAGCATTGAGCCAGATTTATTAACCTTTGATGGTGTGTTAGGCCATTCTTGCATTGCTAGCAATACCTGAGACTGGGTAATTTATAAAGGAAAGAGGTTTAATTGGCTCATGGATCTACAGGCTTTACAGGAAGCTTAGTGCTGGCATCAGCTTGGCTTCTGGGGAGGCTTCAGCAAGCTTACAGTCATGGCAGAAGGTGAAGGGTGAGCAGGCACTTCACATGGCCAGAGCAAGAGCAAGAGAGAGAGGGGGGAGAAGTGCTACACACTTTTAAAAGACCAGATCTCCAGAGAACTCACTCACTATTGCACCAAGCCATGAGGGATCCACCCCCATGACCCAAACACCTCTTACCTGGCCCCACCTCCAGCTTTGAGGATTACAATTCATTTGGGCGGGGACAAACATCCAAACTACGTCACAAGGGTAGGATTTCTTTGTTGAATATAGTTTTTACTGATAGAAAAATATCTTTCCCTGGCCAGGTGTGGTGGCTCATGCCTGTAATCCCAGCACTTTGGGAGGCCGAGGTGGGTGGATCAACTGAGGTCAGGAGTTTGAGACCAGCTTGGTGAACATGGTGAAACCCCATCTCTACTAAAAATACAAAAATTAGCTGGGTGTGTTGGTGGATGCCTGTAATCCCAGCTACTTGGGAGGATGAGGCAGGAGAATAACTTGAACCCAGGAGGCAGAAGTTGCAGTGAGCCGAGATTGCGCCACTGCACTCCAGCCTGGGTGAAAAGACTGAAACTCTGTCTCAAAAAAATAAAAAAAAAGGAAAAAAAAAGAAAAAGAAATATATCTTTCCCTAAGTAGAGTGGCCCTAATATCTAAAGCACTAAACTTCTCACAAATAGATATTGTAGGATGATCTTTTTCATGGTGAAAATATTTATTTGATTTACTCAATCAGAAGAAGATTTCTTGGGATTAATCAAATTTTTTTAGGGTTTGATACAGTGAATTATTAAAAGACCCCAGTTATTTAGATATTTAAGGGCTCATGTTTATGCTTTAAGTGCTTCTGAAATATGGTTGTTAATTTATATAGCCCTATTGTGATGTGACTATAGCTTTTATAACAAAAAAGGTCATACTTTTTTATAGCTCAAGGAGTTTTCATACTAGATTAAATAAAGTTTAATTCAGATGACAAACTTGAGAGTGAGGACAATGCTGTTTGAATAGTACTTTTAAAAATGGAACTATTCCATACATATGTTTGGAATACACATCGCAGAGTCATCAGCACAAGTTACCATAAATAGCACACAAATGGGGGTGGAGCCAAGATGGCCAAACAGGAACAGCTCCAGTCTACAGCTCCCAGCGTGAGCGACACAGAAGACCGGTGATTTCTACATTTCCAACCGAGGTACCGGGTTCATTTCACTGGGGAGTGTTGGACAGTGCGTGCAGGACAGTGGGTGCAGCCCACCGAGCATGAGCCGAAGCAGGGCGAGGCATTGTCTCACCTGGGAAGTGCAAGGGGTCAGGGAATTCCTTTTCCTAGTCAAAGAAAGGGGTGACAGCACCTGGAAAATCGGGTCACTCCCACCCTAATACTGAGCTTTTCCAACGGTCTTAGCAAACGGCACACCAGGAGATTATATCCTGCACATGGCTTGGAGGGTCCTACACCCACGGAGCCTTGCTCATTACTAGCACAGCAGTCTGAGATCAAACTGCAAGGCAGCAGTGAGGCTGGGGGAGGGGCGCCAGCCATTGCCGAGGCTTGAGTAAGTAAACAAAGCGGCTGGGAAGCTCGAACTGGGTGGAGCCCACTGCAGCTCGAGGTGGCCTGACTGCCTCTGTAGACTCCACCTCTGGGGGCAGGGCATAGCCAAACAAAAGGCAGCAGAAACCTCTGCAGACTTAAATGTCCCTGTGTGACAGCTTTGAAGAGAGTAGTGTTTCTCCCAGCATGCAGCTTGAGATCTGAGAATGGACAGACCGCCTCCTCAAGTGGGTCCCTGACCCCCGAGTAGCCCAACTGGGACACCCCCCAGCAGGGGCAGACTGACACCTCACACGGCCGGGTACTCCTCTGAGACAAAACTTCCAGAAGAGCGATCAGGCAGCAACATTTGCTGTTCACCAATATCCGCTGTTCTGCAGCTTCCACTGCTGATACCCAGGCAAACAGGGTCTGGAGTGGACCTCCAGCAAACTCCAACAGACCTGCAGCTGAGGGTCCTGTCTGTTAGAAGGAAAACTAACAAACAGAAAGGACATCCACACCGAAACCCCATCTGTGCATCACCATTATCAAAGACCAAAGGTAGATAAAACCACAAAGATGGGGAAAAAACAGAGCAGAAAAACTGGAAACTCTAAAAATCAGAGTGCCTCTCCTCCTCCAAAGGAATGCAGCTCCTCACCAGCAATGGAACAAGGCTGGATGGAGAATGACTTTGACATGTTGAGAGAAGAAGGCTTCAGACAATCAAACTACTCCGAGCTAAAGGAGGAAGTTCGAACCCATGGCAAAGAAGTTAAAAACCTTGAAAAAAAATTAGATGAATGGCTAACTAGAATAACCAATGCAGAGAAGTCCTTAAAGGACCTGATGGAGCTGAAAACCACGGCAAGAGAACTATGTGACGAATGCACAAGCCTCAGTAGCTGATTTGATCAACTGGAAGAAAGGGTATCAGTGATGGAAGATCAAATGAATGAAATGAAGTGAGAAGAGAAGTTTGGAGAAAAAAGAGTAAAAAGAAACTAACAAAGCCTCCAAGAAATATGAGACTATGTGAAAAGACCAAATCTACGTCTGATTGGTGTACCTGAAAGTGACGGGGAGAATGGAACCAAGTTGGAAAACACTCTGCAGGATATTATCCAGGAGAACTTCCCCAATCTAGCAAGGCAGGCCAACATTCACATTCAGGAAATACAGAGAACACCACAAACATACTCCTCAAGAAGAGCAACCCCAAGACACATAATTGTCAGATTCACCAAAGTTGAAATGAAGGAAAAAATGTTAAGGGCAGCGAGAGAGAAAGGGCAGGTTACCCACAAAGGGAAGCCCATCAGACTAACAGCTGATCTCTCGGCAGAAACTCTACAAGCCAGAAGAGAGTGGGGGCCAATATTCAACATTCTTAAAGAAAAGAATTTTCAACCCAGAATTTCATATCCAGCCAAACTAAGCTTCATAAGTGAAGGAGAAATAAAATTATTTACAGACAAGCAAATGCTGAGATTTTGTCACCACGAGGCCTGCCTTACAAGAGCTCCTGAAGGAAGCACTAAACATGGAAAGGAACAACCGGTACCAGCCACTGCAAAAATATGCCAAATTGTAAAGACCATGGAGGCTAGGAAGAAACTGCATCAACTAACGAGCAAAATCACCAGCTAACATCATAATGACAGGATCAAATTCACACATAACAATATTAACCTTAAATGTAAATGGGCTAAATGCTCCAATTAAAAGACACAGACTGGCAAATTGGATAAAGAGTCAAGACCCGTGAGTGTGCTGTATTCAGGAAACCCATCTCATGTGCAGAGACACACGTAGGCTCAAAATAAAAGGATGGAGGAAGATCTACCAAGCAAATGGAAAGCAAAAAAAGGAAGGGGTTGCAATCCTAATCTCTGATAAAACAGACTTTAAACCAACAAAGATCAAAAGAGACAAAGGCCATTACATAGTGGTAAAGGGATCAATTCAACAAGAAGTGCTAACTATCCTAAATATATATGCACCCAATACAGGAGCACCCAGATTCATAAAGCAAGTCCTTAGAGACATACAAAGAGACTTAGACTCCCACACAATAATAATGGGAGACTTTAACACCCCACTGTCAACATTAGACAGACCAACGAGACAGAAATTTAACAAGGATATCCAGGAATTAAACTCAGCTCTGCACCAAGTGGACCTAATAGACATCTACAGAACTCTCCACCCCAAATCAACAGAATATACATTCTTTTCAGCACCACACCACACCTATTCCAAAGTTGACCACATAGTTGGAAGTAAAGCTCTCCTCAGCAAATGTAAAAGAACAGAAATTATAACAAACTGTCTCTCAGACCACAGTGCAATCAAACTAGAACTCAGGATTAGGAAACTAACTCAAAACTGCTCAACTGCATGGAAACTGAACAACCTGCTCCTGAATGACTACTGGGTACATAACGAAATGAAGGCAGAAATAAAGATGTTCTTTGAAACCAATGAGAACAAAGACACAACATACCAGAATCTCTGGGACACATTCAAAGCAGTGTGTAGAGGGAAATTTATAGCACTAAATGCCCACAAGAGAAAGCAGGAGAGATCTAAAATTGACACCCTAACAACACAATTAAAAGAACTAGGGAAGCAAGAGCAAACACATTCAAAAGCTAGGAGAAGGCAAGAAATAAGTAAGATCAGAGCAGAACTGAAGGAAATAGAGACACAAAAAACCCTTCAAAAAATCAATGAATCCAAGAGCTAGTTTTTTGAAAAGATCCACAAAATTGATAGACTGCTAGCAAGACTAATAAAGAAGAAAAGAGAGAAGAATCAAACAGATGCAATAAAAAATGATAAAGGGGATATCACCACTGATCCCACAGAAATACAAACTACAATCAGAGAATACTATAAACATCTCTATGCAAAGAAACTAGAAAACTTAGAAGAAATGGATAAATTCCTCGACACATACATACACCCTCCCAAGACTAAACCAGGAAGAAATTGAATCTCTGAATAGACCAATAACAGGATCTGAAATTGAGGCAATAATTAATAGCTTACCAACCAAAAAAAGTCCAAGACCAGATGGATTCACAGCCGAATTCTACCAGAGGTACAAGGAGGAGCTGATGCCATTCCTTCTGAAACTATTCCAAGCAATAGAAAAAGAGGGAATCCTCCCTCACTCATTTCATGAGGCCAGCATCATCCTGATACCAAAGCCTGGCAGAGACACAACCAAAAAAGAGAATTTTAGACCAATATCCTTGATGAACATCGATGCAAAAATCCTCAATAAAATACTGGCAAACTGAATCCAGCAGCACATCAAAAAGCTTATCCACCATGATCAAGTGGGCTTCATCCCTGGGATGCAAGGCTGGTTCAACATATGTAAATCAATAAATGTAATCCAGCATATAAACAGAAGCAATGACAAAAACCACATGATTATCTCAATAGACACAGAAAAGGCCTTTGACAAAATTCAACAACCCTTTTTGCTAAAAACTCTCAATAAATTAGGTATTGATGGGACGCATCTCAAAATATTAAGAGCTATCTATGACAAACCCACAGCCAATATCATACTGAATGGGCAAAAACTGGAAGCATTCCCTTTGAAAACTGGCACAAGACAGGGATGCCCTCTCTCACCACTCCTATTCAACATAGTGTTGGAAGTTCTGGCCAGGGCAATCAGACGGGAGAAGGAAATAAAGGGTATTCAATTAGGAAAAGAGGAAGTCAAATTGTCCCTGTTTGCAGATGACCTGATTGTATATCTAGAAAACCCCATCGTCTCAGCTCAAAATCTCCTTAAGCTGATAGGCAACTTCAGCAAAGTCTCAGGATACAAAATCAATGTACAAAAATGACAAGCATTCTTATACACCAATAACAGACAAACAGAGAGCCAAATCATGAGTGAACTCCCATTCACAATTGCTTCAAAGAGAATAAAATACCTGGGAATCCAACTTACAAGGGACATGAAGGACCTCTTCAAGGAGAAGTACAAACCACTGCTCAATGAAATAAAAGAGGATACAAACAAATGGAAGAACATTCCATGCTCATGGGTAGGAAGAATCAATACTGTGAAAATGGCCATACTGCCCAAGGTAATTTATAGATTCAATGCCATCCCCATTAAGCTACCAATGACTTTCTTCACAGAATTGGAAAAAACTACTTTAAAGTTCCTATGGAACCAAAAAAGAGCCCTCATTGCCAAGTCTATCCTAAGACAAAAGAACAAAGCTGGAGGCATCATGATACCTGATTTCAAACTATACTACAAGGCTACAGTAACCAAAACAACATGGTACTGGTATCAAAACAGAGATATAGACCAATGGAACAGAACAGAGCCCTCAGAAATAATGCCGCATATCTACAACTATCTGATCTTTGACAAAGCTGGCAAAAACAAGAAATGGGGAAATATTCCCTATTTAATAAATGGTGCTAGGAAAACTGACTAGCCATATGTAGAAAGCTGAAACTGAATCCCTTCCTTACACCTTATACAAAAATTAATTCAAGATGGATTAGAGACTTAAATGTTAGACCTAAAACCATAAAAAGCCTAGAAGAAAACCTAGGCAATACCATTCAGGACATTGCTTTGAATTCATGTGATTGTTACCACTAGGTAAGTCAGGACACACTGTTGTTCTCTCTTATGTCCAGTTCCACCAGCTGGCTCGCTGATGATTTCAAAATCACAGTTTCCCTACCCAAACACATCTTTTCCTTCACTGCCCACCTGGTTTTTCAAACTCTGATGTGATAAGCTTAAGAGGTTTATTAATCTTTATTTCTATTTTTTTTGCATCTATTTCCTAATGTATTAATTCCCAATCACTTATTATAGTTTTTAAATTTGTCCTTTTCAATATTCTAATTGTCTCTACTCTGGTAGGTAGTTATGTTACATTAAGATCATTACAGTGGTCTCCTGGCAAGTCCTGCTGCTGGCAGTATCTCCCTAAAATAACTTTTATTAGGACAATATTCTGCTTAAGGTCCAGAATGCTTATGGGTTAAATCAGTTGAGTGTTGTGTTCTTGATCTCTCACCAATGAGCCCCACTGTTGAGCTTGCTTTGTTTCCCTGCCCCCTCCATTCTGACCCCTGCACCTGGATAAAACTTTTCTTGACTCCATGCCCCATAGCGTGAGATGTTCTCCCCTCTGCTCTGCTATTATAATCCCACCAGCCAGGCACGGCCCAACCCAATGCTCATATTCACCAAGAACTCTTTCCAATCAAAATCTAGTCCACAGAAGTCTCTTCCCTACTCCAATTTTTTATTTCACCATAAAACCAGCATTGTCACAGAGCTTCACCAATTGGAGAAATACTTTTATATATGGTCCATGCTACTACCTAGTATTACCAGAATGCCTTCAATCGATTTCTTAGGTGTCTATTTGTCCTATCTCCACAACTAATGGTCAAACTTTTTTTTCTATTTATTAATTTTATCTGAATTGCAGAGACTTTTTTCCTACACTTTGGGTTGAAATGAGTGGTCAGTGCAGGACTAAGCACAGATTAGATTTTTATTTAATATTTAAGGGACAATGAATTCTTCATCTAGAGATAAGGGATTCAACTGGTAACAGAAATGATAATAAAACAGTTTTATATAATGACAAATAAATTAAGCTAAATGATTTTACTTGAATCAAATCACTGAAACTCAGGAAAAAATACAAACTGTAGTAAATCAACAGAGACAAAATACATGTATCATCTATTTCATGGATTAGAAAATGAATCAGTTGGATTATTTTGCTTTGTTTTCAGAATATATGACAAGCAATAATTTTCTATTTGTGAGAGATATTCAGTTCTGAACTTTCTGATTTATTTGTCATACACTCGTAAAAATATGCTTATTGGCTTGGTTGAAAAAATATTAAAGAAGTTTTTAATCAAAAACGGGTTCTTGATAAGACTTTAACACATAAACATATGAAACCATTTTATAGATTTTTAAAAAGCAGCCTTGTGGAAATCAAAAAATTGTTCATATGGGAAGGTCTATAACTCAGCATTTCTAAAAATATGTTAGGCTCCTCCACATTACAAGGAACAAAACATTTTCAGCAATCTCATTTAGTGGTGTTCTCTGGGAAGGATAGATACAGAAGTAAAGGAGGCAATGAATGGTTTCTATAAGTGAAGATAGGCCCAAAGGAGAACTGGGGTATTGTGCAGTCTCCAGCAACTATAGTCATCCTTGCCGATGCTATGGTGTCCCTGCCACTTCTGTCTGCCAGTCACTACTGAACAGTATCTCTTAACTCTCCTCTCTAACTTATGGATTCTACTTACTGATAACTTCTGCTGCCAATTTGTCTCTATTGCTTCCTAGCTTCTGTCTTCTACTCTGTTCTTCCTGTATCTCTCCTCTTTCTTTTTTTTTTTTATTATACTTTAAGTTTTAGGGTACACGTGCACAACGTGCAGGTTTGTTACATATGTATACATGTGCCATGTTGGTGTGCTGCACCCATTAACTCGTCATTTAACATTAGGTATATCTCCTAATGCTATCCCTTCCCCCTTCCCCCACCCCACAACAGGCCCCAGTGTGTGATGTTCCCCTTCCTGTGTCCCTGTGTTCTCATTGTTCAATTCCCACCTATGAATGAGAACATGCGGCGTTCGGTTTTTTGTCCTTGCGATAGTTTGCTGAGAATGATGGTTTCCAGCTTCATCCATGTCCCTACAAAGGACATGAACTCATCATTTTTTATGACTGCATAGTATTCCATGGTGTATATGTGCCACATTTTCTTAATCCAGTCTATCATTGTTGGACATTTGGGTTGGTTCCAAGTCTTTGCTATTGTGAATAGTGCCGCAATAATCATACGTGTGCATGTGTCTTTATAGCAGCATGATTTATAATCCTTTGGGTATATACCCAGTAATGGGATGGCTGGGTCAAATGGTATTTCTAGTTCTAGATCCCTGAGGAATCGCCACACTGACTTCCACAATGGTTGAACTAGTTTACAGTCCCACCAACAGTGTAAAAGTGTTCCTATTTCTCCACATCATCTCCAGCACCTGTTGTTTCCTGACTTTTTAATGATTGCCATTCTAACTGGTGTGAGATGGTATCTCATTGTGGTTTTGATTTGCATTTCTCTGATGGCCAGTGATGATGAGCATTTTTTCATGTGTCTTTTGGCTGCATAAATGTCTTCTTTTGAGAAGTGTCTGTTCATATCCTTCTCCCACTTTTTGATGGGGCTGTTTGTTTTTTTCCTGTAAATTTGTTTGAGTTCATTGTAGATTCTGGATATTAGCCCTTTGTCAGATGAGTAGGTTGCAAAAATTTTCTCCCATTCTGTAGGTTGCCTGTTCACTCTGATGGTAGTTTCTTTTGCTGTGCAGAAGCTCTTTAGTTTAATTAGATCCCATTTGTCAATTTTGGCTTTTGTTGTCATTGCTTTTGGTGTTTTAGACATGAAGTCCTTGCCCATGCCTATGTCCTGAATGGTATTGCCTAGGTTTTCTTCTAGGGTTTTTATGGTTTTAGGTCTAACATTGAAGTCTTTAATCCATCTTGAATTAATTTTTGTATGAGGGGTGAGGAAGGGATCCAGTTTCAGCTTTCTATATATGGCTAGCCAGTTTTCCCAGCATCATTTGTTCAGTAGGGAATCCTTTCCCCATTTCTTGTTTTTGTCAGGTTTGTCAAAGATCAGATGGTTGTAGATATGCGGTGTTATTTCTGAGGGCTCTGTTCTGTTCCATTGGTCTATATCTCTGTTTTGGTACCAGTACCATGCTGTTTTGGTTACTGTAGCCTTGTAGTATAGTTTGAAGTCAGGTAGCCTGATGCCTCCAGCTTTGTTCTTTTGGCTTAGGACTGACTTGGCAATGCGGGCTCTTTTTTGGTTCCATATGAACTTTAGTTTTTTCCAATTCTGTGAAGAAAGTCATTGGTAGCTTGATGAGGATGGCATTGAATCTAGAAATTACCTTGGGCAGTATGGCCATTGTCATGTTTCACCTATGCTGGTAGCCACTGACTGTTTTTGAAGCTGTATTGAAATTCTCTAAGAAAAATCTAACTGACTGTATATTTTATTACCCACTTTTTGTGTTTAGGCCCTTTGTAGCTCAGTACAATTTGAGTGCCAATCCTTGGTCTAATTAACTGTGGCCAGAGTGTTAGCAGTCATGATATTCAAAGCAGGTCCTCACCAGGTTGCATTTTATTGATAAATTTATCCCAGGCTGGATTTTTTTACTATTGGCTTTGCAGGATCTAGAACTTTGTCTTACCAGAGTGGATAGATGTGGGGATGTTGCAACTTCATGCTGAGAAACAAGACTGATCTAAAAGCCAGAATATCAAGTTATTAATTTAAACTAAGAAAGGTAGCTATCATACAAATCAGATATTTATGACTGCCTGTCAAATTCATTTTTCCATCCTGTAGGCAGAGCTGGACAATGGGCAGATTAGTCACACAACTGGCCAAAGTACCAAGCTATGAGGTGGCCTAAATAGCTTTGGAATAAACTGGAAGTGTGGTCCCTCTCAGACAGCTCAGCTTTTTGCACATGACTCCTCACGTAAGGGGCCAAATGGAAATTGGCTCCACTTCTGATTCAATAGGCTGGTACTTAGTAGAGATTTATTGAATGTGTAAGTTCTCTCTCTACTGAGCCTTTTGGTGAAAATAAAAATCAGTTCTTCAGAAAACCGAATACCACATGGTCTCACTTATAAGTGGGAGCTAAATAATGAGAACACATAGACATATAGAATGGAACAACAGACACTGAGACCTGTCAGAGGGTGGAGGATACAGGGTAGAAGGAGGGACAGAATCAGAAAAAATAACTAATGGGTACTAGGCTTAACACCTGGGTGATGAAATAATCGGTATAGCAAACCCCCGTGACACAAGTAACATGTAACAAACCTGTACGTGTACTACTGAACTTAAAAGTTAAAAAAAAAAATCAGTTCTTGCCAGCACCAATCTATTTCATTTGAGTTCTTTTTTTTTTTTTTTAACTTTTATTTTAGGTTTGAGGGTACATGCAAAGTTTTGTTACATAGGTAAATACGTGTCACTGTCACGGGGATTTGTTGTAGAGATTGTTTCATCATTCAGATATTAAACCCAGTACCCAATAGTTATCTTTTCTCCCTCTCCCCTCTGCCACCCTCCCCTCTCAAATAAACATCTATGTTGCATTGTGGACTTATAGATGGAATCCCAAACTCTGAGACCTCCTAATCCTTTTTTTTTTTTTTTTTTTTTTGAGACGGAGTCTCGCTCTGTTGCCCAGGCTGGAGTGCAGTGGCGCGATCTCGGCTCACTGCAAGCCCGCCTCCCGGATTCATGCTATTCTCCTGCCTCAGTCTCGCGAGTAGCTGGGACTACAGGCGCCCCTCACCACGCCCGGCTAATTTTTTGTATTTTTGGTAGAGATGGGGTTTCACTGTGTTAGCCAGGATGGTCTCGATCGATCTCCTGACCTTGTGATCCGCCCGCCTCGGCCTCCCACAGTGCTGGGATTACAGGCGTGAGCCACGGCGCCCAGCCGAGACCTCCTAATCTCTTAAGACGTGTGGAAGTAACCATTTACTTCTGACCCTTCACCTTCTCTTACCCTTTTTCTTTCCTCTATCCTAGGCCTCCTGGCTTAAGATGTGTTAATACCTTAATTCAAATAAAATGAAGCTTTCTAAAAGTCTGCTGTAGGAAGGCAGTGGTGGATGGTGGCACATTCAATATGATCGTCTTCCTGAAATGCTTGACGTTAATTTAATAGCACCATTAATTTAATGTGAATCTGATCTGAGGCATTAATTTACGATTTTGATTCTCTCACAATACCTTGAATCAATCATGCATTTCTGGCCTAGAATCCTTCTGACATTTTAAGAGGATTTGACATATTTCTGATTTGATGATTCAGTGTTAACATGGTGCTAAAAGCAATGTTCAAATATGAGACCCTGTGTTGATTTCAAGGCCTAATTTTTGGATAAACAAACTATTTTCCAATTCTTCACCATACCCCTTATCTGTGTCTCACTAACTTGAGGCTTTGGTGGAGTCTTAGTGCAAGACAGACCAGCATTCTGTCTGACACATTGCTGGTGCTTAACTGCAGAGTAGAGCAGGAACCAGGTGGGTTGAGGTTGGTGTGCACATGGCTGGTATTTAGTTGAAGTTTATTGAATGTGAAAGTTCTCTGTTTTCAGCATATCCTGGCAATTTTCTATAACTGCCTGTAAATGCAGATTACAGATAGATTAAAGGAGTTAGTGAATTAAACAGACGAGTTAGCTTAAATTCTTAATGTATGGAACTAACACTGTCACTGTGAGAAACACATCTTCCTTTTTTGTTAAGGATATGATTTCAATATTGATTCAATTTCATATCTGAGGGTAAATTTTCAGAGTATCAGCCTACAAGACAGTGTTATAACATATTCTTTAAGTATTTGGATTTGAACTTTTGTCAAAAAATATAAAATGATCACCAGGCCAGCTAATGCCATGCTCTGTCTGCTTACTGCATTTGAACAAAAACAAAAGCAAAAACACAACAAATAATAAATAATGCTCCTTTTGACATACTTGCTTTATGTGTGTGTCAATGACTTATCCCTATTTGAGATTATCTGTAATTTCTAAGGAGATGATAATCTTTGCTTTTTATGAGAGAACTGCATCTCGATATTTTTGTATGAAGTCAAGTGTGTATGTGTATATATATATATATATTTTTTTTTCCCCTGTTTAGCCATCACAGAGTAAGGCAATTGCTCTGTTTCTGAGAGCCATTATCTACTATTAGCTGCAGTGCAAAGTGTGCTCTTCTATATTATCTGGTACACTAATTAAATTGAATGGGGTAGTGAGAACTTATTCACAGTGTTGGAGCTAATGACCCAGTGAATTAGTAGTGATAGGGAAGACACATTCAAAGATAAATGTCTTGTTTTAATTGCACTATTGTAGCATTTGAATAAAGAGAGTGACATTTCTTTCAAATTGTCTGTAAGTAAAGTGTGTCATTATATAAATGGTAACATATCATCTATGTCTTCAGACTAACTAAAGTTTAGTAAACACTTTTCCTTTGTTGATTATATCCATTTGGGGACTGTAAAATCAGTGCTGCTAATGTAATTCTGAATTAGTATTGATACCAATTACAGTTATTATACCACTGAAAAATTAGGCAATATGGGAGCCTTAGAATTACATTAGAAAAGATAGTCTATACATACTTTTTAAAAAGTAGCAGTACCAATTAACAACAACTACAATCTGCACTCAAGAGCTCATGACAAAATACACTTACAAATGACTTATTCAAGAATGTGAGTTCCCCAAGACGGGGGTTTTGTTTGCTTTGTTTACAGCTGTATCTTCAGCACCTAGATGAATGGCTGGCCCATAACATTTCTTAATAAATATTTGTTGAGTGAACAGAAGTCATAAACATTATCCTATGACCCATCTTCTCATGAGTACTTAAAGTTTATTTCCAATCTACTTACTGGCTTAGCTTATTAGGATAGGGCTTAAAATATAATATTAAAAATCTACCTCTATCCATTCCATGGTCCTAGTGCCTCTTCTCAAATATTAAGCAGTATTAGTTTTCTGTTACAAATTTGAGAACTTAGGTTCTAAGAAGTTAGGAAGGCCGGGCGCGGTGGCTCACACCTGTAATCCCAGCACTTTGGGAGGCCGAGGCAGGCGGATCACAAGGTCAGGAGTTCAAGACCATCCTGGCTAATATGGTGAAACTCTGTCTCTACTGAAAATACAAAAATTAGCTGGGCATGGTGGTGGGGACCTGTAGTCCCAGCTACTTGGGAGGCTGAGGCAGGAGAGTCACTTGAACCCGGGAGGTGGAGGTTGCAGTGAGCCAAGATCGTGCCACTCTACTCCATGGCAATTGTGGATGGTGCCACATTCAATATCACCAGACTGGGTCTCAAAAGAAAAAAAAATGAAGTTAGGAAATGTAGCCACCATCATATGCCTGTGAAATCACATAGCTATCCTGTGGTCCTCTCATAACTTTCAGCTGTTACCTCTGTGCACACCATCCCCGACCCATATCTAAGAGAACTAAACACTGTCTTGGCTCTATTTGTGTGAGAAATAGAATCAGAATATTACACCAGTAACATAGGAAATGAATAGGTTTACTAGAACTGTAAGCTAGGTTAGTATTATTGAATTTTATACAATAAAGAAACAGAGGTAATTTGCAATAAGCAGTTGAGTACCAGGGCATCGTGAAAAGAGATGTTAAATGCCAATGTCTAGAGCACCCTTCATAGATAGAATTATTTTAATGATTATGATGTCAATCTGCTAGCAAAAATGCTAGCCTTGATGGAGAGGAATTCTTTTTGTCTGAATTGATTTGAGACCCTAGCTTTGCTAGGTTTTGTTGCAGTAAGAAACCACTACAAATCTCTCCATAATGATTTCAATGATGCTAATGTGGCATGTGGGCTGGTTGTATCTCAGCTATACATCGGCTAAAGGTCTGATCCCTACCTGGAACATTCTGTTCTCCTGGCAGAAGGAAAGAGACCTAACAGAAACACCCAATGGTTCTTGAAACTTCTACTAGTATATAATGTACATCACTTCCATTCCCATTGAATTAGCCAGAGCAAATCATGAGGTCAGTCTCAACTCCTGTGGAGCAATGAGGTATATTCATTCCCACAGGTATTAAAAGTCAAATGGAAATAGGAGGTGAGGTAGGATTGATTTTATGGCAAGGAGGTGGGTGAGTTATTAAAAACATAATACATTCTACTACTCCATCTATATTTGTTTCCTAGGGCTGCCTAACAAAATACCACAAGCTGGGTGGCTTAAAACAAAAGAAGTTTATTCTATTACTGTGCTGGAGGCCAAAAATCAGAAATTAGAGTGTTAACAGGGTCCTGTTACCTCTAAGACTATGGGTAAAATTCTTCCTTACCTTTTGGTGGTAGCCATCAATCCTTAGCATTTTTTTTGGCTTGCAGCTAGCTGCATAACTCCAATCTCTCCTTCTCATATGGTGTTCTCCCTGTGTGTTACTCTCCATATGGCATTTTCCTCTTCTTACTAGGACACCAGTCTTATTGGATTAGGAGCCCATTCTATATAGTGGGACCTCATCTGAATTTGATTCCATTCTTGTAGAATCTATTTCCAAATAAGGCCACATTCCCAGGTGCCAGGTTTAGGACTTAAGCATATCTTTTTATGGAGACACAATTTAACCCATTACACTATCTTGGACTACTTCCCACCTCTTGTAATATATCCGGGATCTTCTGCACATTCTCATTCTGATATATATACTTTGTTCTGCTATCTCTAATTTCTGCTTTATTATAG
Source organism: Homo sapiens (assembly GCF_000001405.40). Lineage (NCBI taxonomy): Eukaryota > Metazoa > Chordata > Mammalia > Primates > Hominidae > Homo > Homo sapiens. Next base: position 118,489,049 of record NC_000005.10, on the reverse strand, counting down.
ATTGATATCTTGTTTACATCTCTGCCAGTGTCTTCAGTTTCATAATCTAATTGGACAGTGTTGATCAAAGTGTAACCATTTAGTTAAATTTATTCTTATCCTTATATATTCTAACAGGACTAGATGCCAGATAGATCAGTGGATTTTAATAGAATATGGAAAGTACATTGACATGATTTCAGATTCCTCATTGAAACTAATCTTTCAGAATCTACCATTTGTCCAGTTTTGGTTATATCAAATAATATCTACAGTTATCTGGTAAGGCTAGCAAAATGTTTATTTTCCCAATTGTGCTATCTGTATAAGGCTGGGTTTTCTTCATATATTTGAACCAAAACAGCATACTGCAACAGATTAAATGCAGGAGCAGATATGAGAATCCAGCTGTTTTATATTAAGCCTAGTATTAAAAAAGCTTTGCAAAAGAAAGAAAGAAAGAAAGAAAAAAGTAAAACAGTGCACTCTTGTCACTAAATATTTTTTCGTTTGGAAAGTTTTTTTCATAAAATATGTTCGTATGTTAACACATAGCAGGTTTACTATTGTTATTTTAAATAAAGTAATGTTTTTCAATGTCTCAGTTTTAATCTTTTATGTGGTAAATACAGATAGATATAACTCACATAAATAAATAAAAGCTATTTGGGATCATCAATATCAAAAAAAGTTTGAGAACCACTGATGTGGAAAATCAAGGGGGCATTTGGGATGAAATGGGACTATAGCCTTTCCTCTTGATAGAAGCAATAGAAACCATTAGGCCAAAATATTCACCACCAAATATGGAAATCTTCCTACAACTTCCCCCTTCAATCCTCCTTCCCCTTTTAAATAAGGGATGAGGTATCCTGTTTCCTAGGTAGGATCTTCCTCTACTTGTGCCCTGAAACCAGCAGACTACCATGGGCCTGGCCTATTGCTTGTCTCCTGTTCCTTTATCTTGCATGACCCATCCTTCTCTAGTAGCTGTATTCTTACCAGCCTTTACTTGGGTTTAGTTCGTTCACATTGAAAACAATGGACACTTTTAAATTCTCACAGTCATACCCACCCCAAGATTTTGTTGTATTAGTGAAAACAATGCTAGACAAATCCAACATATCAGTGAATGTCAGCTGTTATTTTCTACTCTGTTGCTCCAGCAAGAAACCTGGGTGCCATTCTTCAAATCTCCAACTCCCTAACACCCTCCCATTTACTTCCAATTAATCATCAAATTCTAGTAATTTTTTCTGACTGAAGATTTCTAAAATCTACTCATGTACCACCATTGCCATTACTGCAACCTTCATCCCGTGTTTGAGCTGAACATAACCCCACTAACTGATTTTCCTAGTTTATTCCTGTCCCTTCCTAGCCCTTTCCACAGTACAGCCCAAACTATTCTGAACAACAGTCTGATCATGTAGCCATCATTCAGAAAGCCCATTAGTGGCTCACTCGTTAGAGCTCATGGGGTACTGAGCTCTTCCAATATGCAGACAAAGAGAAGAGAGACACTGGAAGCCACTGTTGCTGATCTGCTGCAGTATTCCCCCAAGGAGAGAAGTAGAGTAAGCATCTGATTCGATCCACAATCTCAGAATGAGTTTTCTTAGATCTGAGGAGGAGAATCTGTCTTATATTATTTTTTCTGATGATTTTTTCAAGGAAGTTCTTCTGAACTCTGGATGGGAGCTTGGAATAATTATGGGAAGTCAAAATAGAAACACACAGATAACCAGGTGGAAGGATGTGGTCTGGGGAAACAAGAAAGTTAAAGGTTAATTATATTATCTCTTCTCAAGATTCTTGCTCAGTGATAGTGATCACCAGTGTCACTGTGGGCAAAACTTGAATTGAAAGACTGATTTCTAATTTTTATTTGGTTACATGTTAGTATTGTAAAACAAAATAAAGCCAAATTAAAAAAGGGTTTTCAGCTGAGAATTTTACCTAGAGCCTTGTGTCCACTCAAGGGAAATACTTCAGAATGAAATAGACCAAAGTGTTTGGCTTCCTGGCATGCTTTCCTAACAATGAAACTGGGCTGCTTTAGCAAGCCATTTCAAAGACATTTTCTGTTTGAAGCAGTCTGCTCCCTTAGTGTAAGAGGATGTAGCTGATTATCTTTCTATAAACAAGGAAAAACCTTCAGGTGGTCTGGCTTGGATGGAAAACCCGGCTCTGGGAGAGAGAAAATGCTTTGGGGCTAAAAGGAAAAGGCATGGGACAAAGCCAAGAGAAGGAAATTTAGAGCATGGAATGAACCGGAAAAAACCCAACCAAACAAGGTGCAGTGGGAAAGTGCTGCTGGCATTACTTATTCTGGGAACACTGGCCCCTTCTCCGGGTGAATGACTGAAGCCACTCACCTCACTGAAACAAGCTGAGATTGTGTGCTTCTCAGGGAAATGTCAGACTAAAGGTATACTAACTAAACATGTTTTATTATGAAAGTCTTGAATATTTTCTGTAATGTCTGGTTTTCTAAAGCAGAATGTTGAGAGGAGGAGATCCTAAGACATTATCAAAGAAAAATCGCACTTTATGGAGTTAAACAGGCAAAGAAGACTTTATTCAAGGCCCTAGCAATAAGGAAGACTGAACTCAACTCCCCTGGAACAAAAGGGAGGAGGGTTCTTTAAGCACTGGGGTGAGCTGGTGGAAAGTACTAAAGGACACTGGTGGGGAGACTGGCTCATGTGATGAGGGCAACTGTGCTTGCTAATTGTCCATTACTGAAGTTGGGCTCCTAGCCTTTATGCAGCCTAGGAGAGAGGAGCACTATCACCTTTAAAAGTTACATTTTACAGGCAGGTCCAGGTCCTTGAGCCTCCAGGTCCTTCCTGGGTTGTAAAAGCGACGTTTTAAAAGACTTAACTTCTCAAAGGGGAAGAGAAAAAATTTATAACTGAAAGTTTTCTAAAGCAAATGCTCTAAGAAGAAAAGGGAGGTCAGGGGAAGAAGCCTGTCTAAATTTTAGTGAAGCTGAATGGAACGCTAAGGACGTCTTTGCCAATATAGGTTAGAACTAAGCTGATGTGTTTCAGAGGCCAGTGAGATTAAAGATTCAAATCATTGCTCCTGTACTAGTAACAGAAAAGCCTTCAATAATATCTATAATATGTAATAAAAATATAATAATAAATGATAAATAGGATGAATAAATAACTGGCTTAAATAATAAAAGGAATATATTGGTTTATGGAAATGAAACTTCCAGGTAAAGTTTACAAATGATTTGATCCAAGTAGAAGTTTCTTTTTTTTTTTTAGGGTATTTTAATTTTAATTTAATTTCATTTTTTCCATAAGTTATTGGGATACAGGTGGTATTTGGTTACACGATAAATTCTTTAGTGGTGATTTGTGAGATTTTGGTGCACCTATCACCTAAGCAGTATACACTGCACCATATTTGTAGTCTTTTATCCCTCACACCTCCCCCACTCTTCCTCCCAAGTCCCCACAGTCCATTGTATAATTCTTATGCCTTTGGTCCTCATAGCTTAGCTCCCACATATCAGTGAGAACATAACGATCTTTGGTTTTCCATTTGTGTTCCATTTGTTTGTGTCATCTATGATTTCTTGCAGCAGTGTTTTGTAGTTTTCCTTGTAGAGGTCTTTTGACTCCTTGGTTAGGTTTATTTCTAAGTATTTTATTTTATTTTTTGCACTTATTGTGAAAGGGGTTGAGTTCTTGATTTGAATTTCTGCCTGGTCACTGTTGGTGTATTGAAGAATGACTGATTTGTGTACATTAATCTCGTATCCGGAAACTTTGCTGAATTATTTTATCAGTTCTAGGAGCTTTCTGGAGGAGTCTTTAGGGTTTTCAAGGTAAATGATCATGTCATCAGCAATCAGTGACAGCTTGACTTCCTTTTTACTGATTTGGATGCCCTTTATTTCTTTCTCTTGTCTGATTGTTCTGGCCAGGACTTCCAGTACTATGTTGAAGAGGAGTGGTAAGAGTAGGCATCCTTGTCTTGTTCCAGTTAGCAGAGGGAATGCTTTCAACTTTTCCCCATTCAGTATTATGTTGGCTGTGGGTTTTTCATAGATGGCTTTTATTGCATTGAGGTATGTCCCTTGTATGCTGATTTTGCTGAGAGTTTTAATGATAAAGTGATGCTGGAATTTGTTGAATGCTTTTTCTGCATCTATTGATATGATTAATATGGTTTGGTTATGTCCCTACCCACATCTCAACTTGAATTGTATCTCCCAGAATTCCCACCTGTTGTGGGAGGGACCCAGGGGGAGGTAATTGAATCATGGGCCTGGTCTTTCCTGTGCTATTCTCATGATAGTGAATAAGTCTCAAGAGATATGATGGGTTTATCAGGGGTTTCCACTTTTGCTTCTTCCTCATTTTCTGTTGCCACTGCCATGTAAGAAGTGCCTTTCACTTCCATGAAATCAAGTGCCATGATTCTGAGGCCTCCCCAGCCATGTGGAACTATAAGTCCAATTAAACCTCTTTTTCTTTCCAGTCTCAGGTATGTCTTTATTAGCAGTTTGAAAACAGACAAATACAGTAAATTGGTTTCAGAAGTGGGGTGTTGCTGAAAAGATACCCAAAAATGTGGAAGCAACTTTGGAACTGGGTAACAGGCAGAGGCTGGAACTGTTTGGAGGGCTCAGAAGAAGACAAGAAAATGTGAGAAAGTTTGGAACTTCCTGGAGACTTGTTGAATGGCTTTGCCTAAAATGCTGATAGCAATATGGACAATTAGGTCCAGGCTGAGGTGGTCTCAGATGGAGATGAGGAACTTGTTGGGAACTGGAGTAAAGGTAACTCTTGTTATGTTTTAGCAAAGAGACTGGCAGCATTTTGCCCGTGACCTAGAGATGTGTGGAACTTTGAACTTAAGAAAGATGATTTAGGGTATCTGGTGGAAGAAATTTCTAAGCAGCAAATCATTCAAGAGGTGACTTGGGAGGGTACTGTTAAAAGCATTCAGTTTTATAAGGGAAAGAGCATAAAAGTAGGAAAATTTGCAGCCTGACTATGCAATAGAAAAGAAAAACCCATTTTCTGGGGAGAAATTCAAATCGGCTGCAGAAATTTTCCTAAGCAGCAAGGAAGCTAATGTTAATTCCCAAGACCATGGTGAAAATGTCTCTAGGCCATGTCAGAGACCTTCATGGCAGCCCTTCCCATCACAGGCCCAGAGGCCCAGGAGGAAAAAGTGGTTTTGTGGGCCAGGCCCAAGGTACCCATGCTATGTGCAGCCTAGGGACTTGGTGTCCTGTGTCCCAGCCACTCCAGCCATGGCTGAAAGGGGCCAATGTAAAGCTCAGGCTGTGGCTTCAGAGGGTGCAAGCCCCAAGCCTTGGAAGCTTCCACATGGTGTTGAGCCTGAGGGTGTCCAGAAGTCAAGAATTGAGGTTTGGGAACCTCTGCCAAGATTTCAGATGTATGGAAATGCCCGGATGCCCAGACAAAAGTATGCTGCAGGGGAGGGGCCCTCATGGAGAACCTCTGCTAGGGCAGTGAAGAAGGGAAATGTGGGGTAAGAACCCCCAAATGGAGTCCCTGCTGGGGCACTGCCTAGTGGAGCTGTGAGAAGAGGGCCACCATCCTCCAGACCCCAGAATGGTAGATCCACTGACAGCTTGCACTGTTGGCCTGGAAAAACCACAGACATTCAATGCCAGCCCTTTAAAGCAGCCGGGAGGGAGGCTGTTCCTTGCAAAGCCACAGGGGCAGAGCTACCCAAGACCATGGGAACCCACCCCTTGCATCAATATAACCTGGATATGAAACCTGGAGTCAAAGGAGATCATTTTGGAGCTTTAAAATCTCACTGTCCTGTTGGATTTTGGACTTGCATGGGCTCTGTAACCCCTTTGTTTTGGCCAATATCTCCCATTTGGAATGGCTGTATTTACCCAATACCTGTACCCCCATTGTATCTAGGAAGTACCTAGCTTGTTTTTGATTTTACAGGCTCATAGGCGCAAGGGACTTGCCTCATCTCAGATGAGATTTTGGGCTGTGGACTTTTGGGTTAGTGTTGAAATGAATTAAGACTTTATGGGACTGTTGGGAAGGCATGATTGGTTTTAAAATGGAAGGACATGAGATTTGGAGGGGCCAGGGATCGAATGATAGGGTTTGACTCTGTCCCCACCCGAATCTCAACTTGAATTGTATCTCTCAGAATTCCTATGTGTTGTGGGAGAGACCCAGGGGAAGGTAATTGAATCAAGGGGACTGGTCTTTCCTGTGCTATCTCGTGACAGTGAATAAGTCTCATGAGATCTGCTGGGTTTATCAGGTGTTTCCACTTTTGCTTCTTCCTCATTTTCTCTTGCTGCTGCCATTTAAGAAGTGCCTTTCCCCTCCCAGCCTGATTCTGAGACCTCCGCAGCCATGTGGAAGTGTAAGTCCAATTAAACCTCTGTTTCTTCCCAATCTCAGGTATGCCTTTATCAGCAGCATGAAAACAGACTAATACAATGATCACATGATTTTTGTTTTTTATTCTTTTTATGTGGTGTATCACATTTATTCACTTGCATATGTTAAGCCATCCCTGCATCCCTGGTATGAAACCCACTTGATCATGGTGGATTACCTTTTTGATATGTTGCTGGGTTCAGTTAGCTAATATTTTGTTAAGGATTTTAGTATATATGTTCATCAAGGATATCAGTATGTAGTTTTCTTTTTTGATTATGTCCTTTCCTGGTTTTGGTATTAGGCTGATGCTGGTTTCATAGAACGAATTAGGGAGGGTTCCTTCTTTCCATATCTTGTGGAATAGTGTCAAAAGGATTGGTACCAATTCTTCTTTGAATGTCTGGTAGAATTCTGCTGTGGACCCGTCTGTTCCTGGATGCTTTCTTGCTGATAATTTTTAAATTTCCATTTCCATCTCACTGCTTGTTCTTGGTCGATTCAGGGTATCTAATTCTTCCTGATTTAAGCTAGAAGGGTTTATTTTTCCAGGAATTTATCCATCTCTTCTAGGTTTTCTAGTTTATGCGTGGAAAGGTGTTCATAGTAGCCTTGAATGATCTCTTGTATTTCATTGGTATCAGTTGTAATTTATCCTGTTTCGTTTCTTAATGAGGTTATTTTGATTTTCTCTCTTTTCTTGTTAATCTTGCTAATGGTCTATTAATTTTATCTCTTCAAAGAACCAGATTTTTGTTTCATTTATCTTTTGTATTTTATTTTGTTTAAATTTCATTTAGTTCTGCTCTGATCTTGGTTATTTCCTTTCTTCTGCTGGGTTTGGGTTTGGTTTGTTCTTGTTTCTCTAGTTCCTTGAGCTGTGACCTCAGAATGTCAGTTGGTGCTCTTTCAGTCTTTTTCATGTAGATATTTAGGGCTATGAACTTTCCTCTTAGCATCGCCTTTGCTGTATCCCAGAGGTTTTGGTAAGGTGTGTCATTATTGTCTTTCAGTTCGAAGAAGTTTTTAATTTCCATCTTGATTTCGTTTTTGACCCAATGCTCATTCAGGAGCAGGTTATTTAGCTTCCATGTATTTGCATGGTTTTGAAGGTTCCTTTCAGAGTTGATTTCCAGTTTTATTCCACTGTGACCTGAGAGAGTGCATAATATAATTTCAATTTTCTTAAACTTATTGAGGCTGATTTTATGGCCTATCTTATGGTCTATCTTGGAGAAAGTTCTATGCACTGTTGAGTAGAATGTGTAGTCTATGGTTGTTAGATGAAATCTTCTATATATATCTGTTAAGTTCACTTGTTCCAAGGTATAGTTTAAATCTATAGTTTCTTTGCTGACTTTCTGTCTTGATGACTTGTCTAGTGCTGTCAGTGGAGTATTGAAGTCCCCCACTATTATTTTGTTGCTGTCTTTCTTATTTCTTATGTCTATTAGTAATTGGTTTATAAATTTTGGAGCTCCAGTGTTAGGTGCATATGTGTTTAAGATTGTGATATTTTCCTGTTGAACAGGGCCTTTTATTTTTATATAAGGTCCCTCTTTGTCTCTTTTAACTGCTGTTGCTTTAAAGTTTGTTTTGTCTGATATGAGAATAGCTACCCCTGCTTGTTTTGGTGTCTATTTGTATGAAATGGCTTTTTCCACCCCTTTACTTTAAGTTTATGTGAGTCCTAATGTGTTAGGTGAGTCTCCTGAAGGGAGAAGATGGTTTATTGGTGAGATCTTATCCCTTCTTTTAACTGGAGCATTTAGGCCATTTACATTCAATGTTAATATTGAGATGTGAGATACCATTGCATTCATCATGCTATTTGTTGCCTGTGTACTTTTGCTTTTTATCTTGTATTTTTGTTTCATAGGTCTTGTGTGATTTATGCTTTAAAGAGGTTCTGTTTTGATGTGTTTTTAGGATTTGTTTCAAGATTTATAGCTCCTTTTAGCAGTTCTTGAAGTGGTGGCTTAGTAGTGGCAAATTCTCTCAGCATTTGTTCATCTGAAAAAGACTGCATCTTTCCTTCATATATGATGCTTAGTTTCACCGGATACAAAATTCTTGGCTGATAATTATTTTGTTTGAGGAGGTTGAAGATAGGGCCCCATTTCCTTCTGGCTTTTAGGGTTTCTGCTGAGAAATCTGCTGTTAATCTGATAGATTTTCCTTTATAGGTTACCTTGTGCTTTTATCTCACAGCTCTTAAGATTCTTTTCATCATCTTAACTTTGGATAACCTGATGACAATGTCCCTAGGTGATTATCTTTTTGTGATCAATTTCCCAGGTGTTCTTTGTGTTTCATGTATTTGAATGTCTAGATCTCTAGCAAGGCCAGGGAAGTTTTCCTCGATTATTCCCCCAAATATGTTTTCCAAGCTTTTAGAATTCTCTGCTTCCTCAGGAACACTAATTATTCTTAGGTTTGGTCATTTAACACAATCCCAGACTCTCGGGAGGCTTTGATCATATTTTCCTATTCTTTGTCTCTGTTGGATTGGGTTAATTTGAAGACCTTGCCTTTGAGCTCTGAATTTCCTTCTTCTACTTGTTTAATTTAATTGCTGAGACTTTCCAGAGGATTTTGTAATGCTATAACTGTATCCAATGTTTCCCAAATTTTTGATTGCGTTTTCTTGAAGCTATCTGTTTCCTTCAATATTTCTCCTTTCACTTCTTGTATCATATTATGGATTTCCTTGCATTGGGCCTTGCCTTCCTCTGGTGCCTCCTGATTAGCTTAAAAACTAACCTCCTGAATTCTTTTTCAGGTAAATCAGGGATTTCTTCTTGGTTTGGATCCATTGCTGGTGAAATAGTATGATTTTTCAGGGTTTTAAAGGGCCTTGTTTTGTCATATTACCAGAGTTGGTTTTCTGGTTCCTTCTCATTTGGGTAGGCTGTGTCAGAGGGAAGTTCTATGGATGAAGGCTGTTGTTCAGATTATTTTGTCCCATGGGGTGTTCCCTTGATGTAGTACTCTCCCCACCCCACCTTTTTTTTTTTTTTAATGGATGTGGCTTCCTGTGAGTTGAACTGCAGTGATTGTTGTCTCTCTTCTGGGTCTAGCCTCCCAGCAAATCTACCCAGCTCTGGGCTAGTACTGAGGGTTGTCTGTGCAGAGTCCTGTGATGTGAACCCTCTATGGGTCTCTCAGCCATAGATACCAGTATCTGTGCCAGTGGAGATAGCAGGTGGCTACGATGGACTCAATGAAGGTTCTTAGCTTTGGTGATTTAATGCTCTATTTTTGTGCTGGTTGGCCTCCTGCCAGGAGGTCACGCTTTCTAGAGAGCATCAGCTATGGTAGTATGGAGAGGAACCAGTGGCAGGTGGGGCCCTAGAACTCCCAAGATTATATGCCCTTTGTCTTCAGCTACCAGGGTGGGTAGGGAAGGATGATCAGGTAGGGGCAAGGCTAGGCGTGTCTGAGCTCAGACTCTCCTTGGGTAGGTCTTGCTGTGGCTGCTGTAGGGGCTGGGGGTGAGGTTCCCAGGTCAATGGAGTTGTGTACCTAGGAGGATTACCGCTGCCTCTGCTGAGTCATGCAGGTTTTCAGGGAAGCAGGGAAAAGCCGGCAGTCACAGGCCTCACCTAGCTCCCACGCAAACCAAAGGGCCAGTCTCACTCCCACGGTGCCCCCTCAACAGTCCCGAGTCTGTTTCCAGGCAGTAGGCAAGCAGGGCTTGACAACTTGCCCCAGGCTACCTGCCTCCCAGCTGCGAAAGAAAAGGGGTTGGCTCTTCCCCTGCCTGTGGAGTCTGCACACTGGATTTGCACCCTCCCCCGAGTTCTGGCCAAGAGGCTTCTCACCCTGTTCAAATTGTTACAAAATGCAGCTAGAGATTTTCTTCTCCCTGCAGTGTCTCCCCCGTGCTCCTCTGGTTGCCCTCCCAATGGATACCTGTGGTGCCAGGCAGGAATGGCCTGCCTGGAGACCCAGCAAGCTTCCAGGGTCTTTCTGCTGCTTCCTCTACCCCTGTATTTCACTCAGCTCTCTAAATTGACTCCGCTCCAGGTAAAGTTGGAAACTTCTCCTGCAAACATACCTTCATTTTCTCCAATGCGAGTGTGTGTTCAGGAGAGGAGGCTCTCCCTTTCCCACTTCCACAGTTGGGGCACTCACCATATCTGGGGTTTCTCTCAGGTCCTACTGGAGCAGTCCACTTCCTTCAGAGGGTCTGTGGGTCCTCTCGGGATTAAGAAGTTCCTTTTTCTCAATACTTCCACTTTGTTACCTTGGACACAAGTGTATGGGAGGTTCTCCAGTTGTAAGATGGCTGCCAGCAGTTTCCAGTGCTAAAATATTCTTTCTCACAACCAATAAGAAAAGACAGTTTTGAAAGCAACTCAGGAAAAGGAAGAAAGAGTCTTTTCTTTCCTAGAAGCCCAAATATATCCTGAAGTCCTGTTGGCTCTTACTGAGTCACATGTTTATCCCTAAAGTAATCATATGGCCAGGGATATAGACTGTGCTGATCAAAGACTGCATCTTGAGCTACTGATGAGTTTTATTCTACCTAAAGGATTTGTCTGATAATCAATGAGGTGTGTGTAGAAGTTTGCTGAAGATGCTATAACAAAGTGCTGCAAACTGTGTGGCTTAAAATGGAAATTTATTCTCTCACAGTTCTGGAGGCTAGAAGTAGAAAATCGAGGTGTCAGCCCGCTGTGTTAAAACCTCTAGGGGAGAATGCATGCCTTTGTCTTAAATTCAGGTGCCGCCAGCAATCCTTGACATTTTTTGGCTTGTAGCTGCCTAACTCCAATCTCTGCCTCTCTCATCATATGGCTTTCTCCTTCATGTGTCTGTGTCCAAATTTCCATCTTCTTTTTTATGAGATGGAGTCTCACTCTGTCACTAGGTTGGAGTGTAGTGGCACCATCTTGGCTCACTGCAACCTCGGACTCCCTGGTTCAAGTGATTCTCCTGCCTCAGCCTCTGGAGTAGCTGGGATTACAGGCACCACCCATCATGCCCAGCGAATTTTTGTATTTTTAGTAGAGATGGGGTTTCACCATGTTGGCCAGGATTGTCTCGATCTCCTGACCTCGTGATCCATCCACCTTGGGCTTGCAAGGTGCTGGGATTACAGACGTAAGCCACCACGTCCAGCCCAAATTTCCCTCTCCTTATAATGATACTAGTCATATTGGATTAGGGCCTACCTAATTACTTGATTATACCTTATTTAATTGTATCTGCAAAGACCCTATTTCCAAATAAAGCAATATTTGCAGATATTGGGGGTTAGGACTTCAGCATATCTTTTTGTGGACACAATTCAACCCATAATAGGGTGAATGTCCTTATTAATTTTTTCTGTTGTTATTAGAAGGAGGGAATGCATGCTGTAGAGGCAACTGAAAAATAGTTATGCATTGTTAATGCAAAATAATTATTTGACTTCACAATTGATTTATCCAGTGGGATCCACTGGTTCTTCACATGTAATGGAAAAGTGGTTTTATCTCATGATCTGCAACAAAAGCTGTTCTAGAAACAGGGCTTGCCTCAGTCCAAAAGCAGAGAGTGAGAACAATTATGCTAAATAGGGTCTTCTATGTTATTCATCCATAAAGAGGACACATTGCAAATATTGTTAATAAGTCCAAACCAGCCACTTTCCCCTCTAAAAATGATTCTCCTGATTTATGAATACCATGGCTTATTTTTCAGGACTGTCCATTATTTTCCCACTTCATCTCCTAAAAGAATGAAATTCTTATGTCCTTCTTGCAACAGAGTCACAGTCGAATGCACATCATTTTACACACATACACCCAAGAATATGGCTGTCTTTCTGACACTTTCTGTGGGCCAAAGTTGAGCACGAATTACCTGATATCAGTTTGCCAACAGCAGCGACTACAAATCTGCTGATTCACTTACTTCTTGAAGAAAAATCAATTGTGTCAAATCATCTTGTGGTATGATAGGAAACATCGTGGGTGCAAGTCAATTCAATATTAATTTAGTACCCTGTATTTGACACTGCTTGGCACTGAGCTAAATCTGAATTTCTTGCCCCATAAAACAGTCATAATGGGGTGCACCTCTATCATTTCACTACTACCTACTACTATTTCTACCACCTCCACCACTGCCAGCACTATAAGGGCTACTGCTACTTCTACAATATTAGGTAATATAAGGCACTCAGTATGTAACAGACAGTTTTCTGATTATTTTCATATAATACTGAAAACAGCTCTTACAATATAGGAACTATTAATATATCTGTTTTATAAATGTAAAAATGAAAGCACAAAGCAGCTAAGTAACTTGTCCAAAGTCACATAGCTAATAAGTGGCAGAATGAGGATACAAATTCTGGCTTTCTAGCTCCAGAACTCTGCAGTACCCTGTATAACCACCATTAATTTAATTAACAACACCGGCTATGGGATTGATGCATAAAGGAACATTTACTTTGTGTATTTTAATGCGTTAATGTGAGAAATATGAATTTCTTTGCCAGTATAGCTGCAAATATGAGCATATCTTTTTATTTTTTTAATTCATTGCAAGAGACCCACCTATTTTATTAGCAGTGCTATCTTCTTCTCGAGGTCTTTACTCCCAACTCTCCTTAATTGTTAAAGAACCTAAGGGGTTTTCTCAGTCTCATAGGGTTCGTTCATCTTCCAAACACCAGACAGACAGCTGGTTTATTTGCTCTGTGCCCTCCTGCTGTCACTGTTTCCCTATGATGACCGATTCCCCATTGCTCCACAGTGCCCATCTACTGTGGTAATTACGTCTTGCTAGTTCGTTCATTCAGCAAATGTTTTTAGTGACCACATAATATAGGCAGGCCCTGTGCTTCACTACTAGCTGGACTACAAAGAAAATCAAGAGAGACATAAAGAGCATTGGGAGATATATGTAATGTTAAATGACGAGGTAATGGGTGCAACACACCAACATGGCACATGTATACATATGTAACTAACCTGCACGTTGTGCACATGTACCCTAAAACTTAAAGTATAAAAAAAAAAGAGCCCCGCTTTAAGGAGCTTACATTGTGGTGGGAGAGGCAGACAACAAACAAGGAGGCCAATAACTAAGGGAAATAACTACTGATTGTTATGTGTGTCCAAAGGAAAGAAGTGGGAAATAAAGAATGTAGTTCTATTAAGGATAGGCAGGTAGAGCATCTGTAAGGAGGTGGCATTTAAGTTAAGACCTGCAATTATAAAAATGTCTTAAAATTAGATTATGATGATGGTGCACAACTCTGACTATACTAGAAGTATCTTTGAATTGCTCACTTTAATCAGGTGAATGTTATGATATATGAATTACATATCAATAAAGCTGCAAAAAAACTATAACAAGGTGCTGATATCCAGCAGTTATGACCAGAAGTAGACCGCTTTGTATTTTCTGCTTTTGTGCCTATTGAAAATTCTGTTATATAAATTGGGTAAATTCTCAGTTTTGATCTGAGATTTGGCTCTCCTGGGTGTATTATCACTTGTTCATCTTTATTACAGATTTTACAGTTACACTGGTGTTTGCTCCTTCATTGTTTCCCACCCTTGTGAGTTTAAACCTTAAAAAAATTCCCCTTGCTATAATTTTGGTACAGTTTAGGAGGGAGGAAACTGAGATCTCATTGTTCAAGGAATAGATATTAGTTTAATCAAATCATTGTAATTCCAGTTGCTGTATATTTTCAATAATCTAAACTTAAGCCAATCAGTGCATTTCCCTAGGTGACCTTCATTAGTAAATGGTGTCCACATGGCCTAACAACCCAATCATAGTTAACTGAGGTACTTTTAGTTCATAATTGGTAATAAGGTTTTGCTGTGCTCCTATCCAGACTCTCATCTTGAATGGTAATCTCCATCATCCCCACGTGTCAAGGGAGAGACCAGGTGGAGGTAATTGAATCATGGGGGCAGTTTCTCCCATGCTATTCTCGTGATAGCGAGGGAGTTCTCACGAGACCTGATGGTTTTATAAATGTTTGGTAGTTCCTCCTGCGTTCGTTCTCCTTCCGGTCACCTTGTGAGGAAGGTTGTTTGTTTCCCCTTTATCACTCGCTGTGATTGTAAGCCTCCTGAGGCTTCCCCAGTCATGCAGAACTGTGAGTCAATTAAACCTTTTTCCTTTATAAATTTCCCAGTCTCTGGTAGTTCTTTATAGCACCATGAGAACAGACTAATACAACTGGGAAAATTTTATCTCTCTCTCCTTTCAGATGTGACAAGGAAGACTGCAACCCTATTTGCTTCTGATAACCTTCCTATGACTAAGGTAAGACAGCCTTGGGATAAAGCAAGTTTTGTATGTGGCATAAAAGGGAAAGAGAATGAGCCTGGGCACATCAAATACTTCTGAAGTCTCCTTTACATCTGAACTTATGAAAATGTGAGAACATACATTTCCCAATTGCTTGAGCCAATTTGAGACAGGATTTCTGTATGTTTGTTTGTTTGTTTGGCTTTTTCCAGCCCAAGTCCTTTATCTGGTACAAATGGGTTGGAGAGATTAGTAACTGTAATTGACATTCCTATCGGATGCTGAAACAATTCATTAGAAAGCCAGGGATATGAGAAGATTGTCTGGAGAAGGGGGAAAAGTGGAGGTTGGTGCAAAAGGCACCCTGTGTCTCAAGAACCTTAGCAACAGTTAGCCAGTACAGTTTCACGGTTGCAGTAGGTGGGGAAATGGTAAGCATATGTAGTGTTTGGGTTAGAGGGTAGAGAAGAAATGCAGGTAACTAACATTTATTGAGAATTTAGTTCTTGGCACTGTTTCCATTTCAGATATGTTACTACATTTTTGCCTCTCAACAGCACTAAGAAGTACATATTTAAAGAGATAGAAACTTGAGACTCTGAGATATTAATATTCCCACAATTACTCAGCTAGTATAAAACTCCTCTCCCATCCACAGTGCCTCTAAGTTCCTTACCATCTATAGCATAGTTTAAGAATTTAGGAAGTCAAAAAAGTACAGAATACATGTTTAAAAGGGGTCCATCAAAGGTGCTAACATGAAGACGATGTATTGTTATCTCCCAACTCTAAGGAATATTTGCTAATTCAGAATAGATTCAGAATAAATCATTCCTGAATGCTTCAGGGTTTTTGTGCTAATTGTTTTAATGTAATCATAGCAGAACACCCCAGATATTCTAAATACTTATCTCAGGACTCAGTTATCTGAAAAGTCTCATCACGAAGACCTGTACATGCTAATGCTTGGTAACTCAGGGAAGCCTTCTTACGTGACCAACACCACAAAGCCAGGTGGAGAAGATCCCAGAGGTCTCTGGTGCTTGATGTGTTTCTCTAAGTTTTGCTGAAATAATTTAAAAAAAGATGAAGTGGGAGAATTTAGAGATTATTACTTACATAACATCATAATTTATCTCCTTTGCCAATATCCTCTTCTTCAAAGCAAAGATTTTTAAAGATGAGTGAATAAAGATTGATTATACAAGGTTCTGGGGAAGGAGGGTCAAGATGGTATGGTTTGCATATTGTATCACTTTTTTTCCCCCTCAGAATCATTTTATTTACTTCTAGGAAGCTGGGAGTGTGACTCTAGAACAACACAGATTTAAACTATGTGAGCTCACTTCTAGGCAGATTTTTTTTTTAATCAAAGTTACACCCCATGTGCCTGCCTCTCCTGCCTTCCTTTCCACCACCTCCATATCTCCATATACAACCTGAGACAGTAAGACCAATGCTTCCTCTTCCTCCTTCTCAGCCTATTCAGTGGAACGATGAGGATAAAGGCCTTTCTGATGATCCCCTTCCATTTAATAGTAAATATATTTTATCTTCCTTATGATTTTTAAAATGACACTTTCCTTTCTCTAGATTACTTTATTGTGTGACCACAGTATATAACACATATACAAAAGATATGTTAATTGACTGTTAATGTTATTGGTAAGGCTTCCAGTTAACAGTAGGCTGTTAGTAGTTAAGTTTTTGGGGAGTCAGAAATTGTATGCAGGTTTTCAACTGTGCAGGGGGACAGAGCAGCCCTCAACCCCCAAGTTATTTAAGGGGTCAACTGTACTTCTTCCATAAAATGTCTGACAAAAATAAAAATCTAAAAATATTTACTTTCAAGTTTTTGGGTACTTAATCATTGACATTGTAAGGAGATAAAACTTTCCCTCCAAAGGTTTGATGATTAAGTTTATTAAATAAACTGACAGTGGACAGACTAACAGAAGAAAAGGCATACAAATGTATTATGTGCCTGAGGGCATCAAAGGAAGGAAAAGTGAGTACCCCATAACCTAATAAAATTTAAAAGCTTATGTGCCCTCCTCATAGGGAAGGTGGGGGGGGGCATGTAAGCAACATAGAGAAAGTTAACGATTTTGGGGGAAGATAAATAGGTAATAGTTTGTGACAAAGATTGGTTGTTTGTGACGCTGACCTCCAAACTCTTCTCTTGTGATACAATTAGTCTTCTCTGGTTGAGATTCCTGGGGAGGACACTCATGACAATTGTGGTTTTTGGAGGATCTATCTTTAGGCAGCTAAAAGGAAGTTCAGAGAAAGCCCCTTCCTATACTTCGCAGGAGAAAAAAGAGGTAAGAGGCTTTGGTTCTGTTTTAGTTCCAAGCACTTGGTATGTCAAAGCACCATACTTAGGGGTATTGTTTTCTGAGTCCTAACAACATTGAATATTTCTTTGCAAATGAATTATCTGATGTGTTTCCATTCTGGTGTCCTATTTTTAAGAACATCTTAATATGTTATTTTCTTTCAAAAACTTCATGGTGCAATTGCATGATGAATTAACAATAAAATGTTTCTCCGTGATATATATATTTGTTGCTGTTGTTGAGATGGGGTCTCACTCTGTTGTCCAGGCTGAACTTGAACTCCTGGCCTCAAGCAATCCTCCAGCTTTGGCCTCCCAAAGTATTGGGATTACAGGCACGAGTCACTGTGCCCAGCCTCCTTGACCTTTTTTATAAGGAGCATTAGTCAAATTTAATTTTGAATGCACTGGAAAGTTGTCCTAATTAATTCGGATTAAATATTGCCTGATCATATATAAATAACCTCTTACTATGTTTGAATTATGTTAAAAACTTACTAGAAGTAAATCATGATTTATTAGATAAAAAAGTAGTATGATGTCAAAATAACATAAAACAAGTACAAAACAGATTTTAATTCTGATTTATATGTGCTTTTTTAATATATCTGGAGTAGGTACTTAGCAATTTTTGGCCCTCTGGAATAAAATATAATAATTCATTTAATCACATGCTAGTTTTTATTGAGGTCTAGAAAATGTAAAGTACTTGATCAATTGATTTTACTTTTAAAATTGGTTCTTTTTAAGTGCTCAGAGTTTAAAACATTACTAT
Organism: Homo sapiens; assembly: GCF_000001405.40. Taxonomy (NCBI): domain Eukaryota; kingdom Metazoa; phylum Chordata; class Mammalia; order Primates; family Hominidae; genus Homo; species Homo sapiens. Next base: position 118,471,273 of record NC_000005.10, on the reverse strand, counting down.
CTGCGATGATAAATACAGGTCTTGCCATCTTGATATTGATTGTTTCAGTGGAAGTGGGTAGTGTCTTGTAGGTGACTGAAAATGAGGCAATAGCAAGGAATACTTGCCCTCAAAGGATACAGATGGTTGTAAATCCTCCCAGGGGTGCACTCAACATATCCATCTCTTAAAAGTCTGCTTCCACCCTGACCTCCCTAAGGGGCCCAACAGTTGTGATGTTTCTGTGTGGGAATTGTATTCCATCTTCCTTTCTGATGGCTCCTCCCCTTCCCTTGGCCACTTCAGATAGAGGTGCAGGACATTGCTGAAGTGAGCATGCTCACTAGTTGGTACAGCATAAGTTTCCAGGAGCATAGAGAATTTGAACAAAATTTTAAGATTCATTTTTCCTATTGCTAAAGTCACATTTGGATCATGAGGATCTTCTTCCTTTTTTTATTTTCTCCCTTATTATTTTTATTATCTTCTCATATTCCTCTCCACCTCATTGCACCTTTCCTCTTTAATTTCCTTGAAATTACTTGGTAAGGCAGTTGGTACATGGAATATATATTTTACAATAAAATTATAAATGGTGGTTAAATTCTATACTAGCTCATACATGGATTTTTTTCAATGTTTTTTGAAAGTGAGCCTTATTTAGTTAGACTAGAAAATTAATTCTATGCAAATATATATATATCCCAGTTACCAGCTGGCCAGTAATTTTAGGTATATGGACATCCTAGAAAGTGCTAGTTCCATGGGGCAGTAAGTATCTTTTTCAAATATGAGTAAACTGTCTTAAGCAAAGGAGAGAAGGAATTGAGAAAAATGCTGAAAATAAAAGGAGGTAATATTTTTAGGTTGAATGATACATTAGTAGATGGTGTTTAAAGTCTTCAGAATGTATTGCCTATGTAACTGTAATAACCTCCTTAGTAGTGCTGCTGAAATATTAATTATAAAATATTATAATACTAGTAAATAAACTAAACAGAAAACATTTAATTAAAAAGTTTTCAAAGAATTTTAATGTTTATATTTTATATTTCATTGGTTGTCATTTTAACTTAGTTTTAGGGTTCACTATAACGTCTAATTTAATTCTGAGGTTCTAATTTGTTATACCTTTTCCCCCACTTAATTTGATTTACAAATAAAAGTCCATGAAGGAAATTTTACCAATAAGTCTTTTGTTGAAGAAATAGAGAAAAAAGAAGAGTAATTTCTTAAGTAAATTATTTCCATCATTAATTGAGAGACAATTTTTAAAAATTCTGCTAGGCTAGTAATTTTCTTCTTCTCCATTTGTGTTACCTATCATATTACTACCATCTTTTCATGTTTCCCGGGCTAGAGATTCAGAGATGTTATGTGGTGATCTGGTCACCACATAATGTTAAAATTTTAGCATGTAAAACTAAAAATTTTTAACTTTTTCTACAACTGAACTTCATTTTTATTCTGAGCAACTATTTCCCTAGAGTGGCAGAAAACTATTCTCTGACTAGGGTGTCTCTTTTTCTGCTGAATCTAAGTTCTTGAAGGCTTCTACAAGTGCCTAGTGCTAGTGGTGAGGTGGATTTATCTGACTTACTGTCCCATCTGGCAGAGTTACATCTGCGGTCATACCCATCCTGTTGGGTAACTGGTCACTGGCACAAGCAAGTTACCTGACAAAGTCCCAAGCTCTTGTTTGGAAGCCCCTTGCCAGCCCACCACTTCTTTCTCCTACTTTTCTGTACTCTTGGACACATGGGAATCATTCAGCTGCTTTTGCCGGGACTGAGTCATGATGAACCCTTGCAGTTGATTAAGAGCTTGTTGGTCTTGCAAGGCCATGCTTCTATTTCTGATCTGCAGATTCTCTACGTTCTTTTACCTAGGAAAAGGCCCACAGGTTCTTGGAAGTTCTTGGGACAGCCACAATGGAGGGTCCATTTATTAGGGACCAATGTCTAGGTTCCAATAGACAATACTCTAACTTTCTCTTCTCCCAGTCCAGGGGAATCTTGGGTATGTTTGCATGATGGAGTATGGAAGGGGTATAGCCTGATTTTTCTCTTCCTGATTTCTTCCAAATCTATTTACTTTTCTTCCCCAAGTTTTGAGTTTCTCACGCCTCAGGTTTTTGAAATTCCAGCAAAGGACAATCTAACTGGCTGAATGAGAGGAGCGGGAAGAAGAAAGGGCCAAAAGATGACAGAAAATGTGAGTGGAGACCAATGTTATTTCAAAAAGTATCCCACCATTTATCATTAATTCATTCCCCTCACTAACCATATCTAGTCAGTCATGTTCCTATAGATATGAACACTATTACCTCTCTTGGATTCATTCTGTCCATTGCAAGGCAGATTGAGTGAAACCTTCAGTGGCTTCACATTTTCTGCAGAATAAACTAAACTTCTCAGAGCAGCATTGAAATTTCTCCAAAATTAGATACTAAACTAGAACATTTGTTTCAGCTTTTCCTACATCCTACCCACCTAACACTTTATACTCTCCCATTTTTGGAAAATGTCATTCGTATATTTGTATCTTTGCTCATGCTAATCTCTTTACCTAGAACTGTTTGTTGCCTTTTAAAAACTACTTAATATCTACCATGCAAGGCCCAGGCCAAACGCTCCCTTATCCAAGAAGCCTCCTTAAGTTTCCTGAGGAAAAAACTGCTTTTTTTTTTCCCTTCAAGTTTCCTAGCTTTTTTGTGAGTGGTGGAGGTGGATTCTTCCTTGATTAAAATTATTTGTTTAAATGTTCAATATCTCCCTAGATTTGAACACCTCGAATGGAATAATCATGTATCATTCTAACATTTAACAAGATTTCTAATGTTTTTCTCTTAATCATACAGTGCCCTTTCAGATGTTCTAAAATGGCCAAAATAGCAGTGACTCCTATTTTGTAACTTGGTGATTCTTAATACAGCTTCCATTTAATGGTCTAAGATTAGGAGACCACAAGTCCCTGGAGCAACAGGAGCAAATGTGAGTGTCCTAGATAAACCAGGCCATATGGTCACTCTATGTGAATTGGTTGTTCTTTTTAAAGGGATGACAAGTAGGATAGGGGGAAGGGAAGAGAAAGGCATATTCCTTTCTTAGAAAGGCAATGCCTGCAAGTTGTCCTCATAATTTTCATTATATCCTAAAAGACAGAATGTAGTCACATGGCCACATTTAACTGCAAAGGAAGCTGGAAACATATGGCTAGGTGCCATGTTTCTAGTTAAACTCAGGGTTTATTAGTAACAAGGTAGGGAGACTAGGTATGGTGGGCAGCCAGTAGTTTCTGCTAGACAGAATGAATTTGAGCATTTCCTTCATTCCTGAGATAGTAAATAACTAAAATCTCTACAAACTGACAGAATGGAATGCTTTATTTTGGGATACCAGGGAAATGTATTTTTTTCACACTATTTAATAACAAGTAGATCATCTCCCTTTCAAGACAAGGTATATAAATTTTCGAGGAAAATATTTTTAGAAAGAAGCTAAACAGATGGTCTCAGTAAATACAGTTTAGAGGAAATTGGTGAGGAAAACTGACTGTTAAACTGAGGGTTCTACATCAAAGAATTACCAACTTGCTCTTCCAGCTTTGCTCTGGTAGATCTGATATAAGAGAGCGAGCTTCGCTGCTTTTCATACTGTCATTACATCAAGGAGGACTAAGTCTTCAGCTTCTTTCATTAATTAGCCATGCCATCCAGTGGGCAAACCCACCTTAGAGAAATTTAGCCGTAGGCACCCATGGTGTGTCCACAGCAGGAAGGTGTAGGCCAGTGTGTCTCCAAGTGGTTTCTCTGAAGATTTCACAGGAGGTGAAAATCTCCCTTACAGATTTATCTCTTTAATCAGTGGTGACCTCAATATGTCATCCCACATTTTTTGAAAAGAATCTGAAGTAGAAGCGCTATTCCTTAAATTTGAACGTGTACTCTTTCCTCCTTCTGCAACCCCCAATTTTGCTATCAGTCATGGTTGCTAATATCCCTGCTGTCTTCAGCAGAGCTGCCAACTCTGTCAGTTTCTGAAATATTGTTTATGCGGAGCAATTTATTTTTTAGGGAGATGAAAAGCAGATTGCAAAAGCAGTCTATTGCCAACTTGTTGGAATGTATGTATTCTAGTTCAGAACACTTCAATATAACTATTGAATTATTATTTATGTTGATTGGTAAAGTGCTTCTCAAATAATTGATTCATAAAACAGTCTATGCTTGATATAATTAACAATGTTTCCTTATTTGTGTTTGTAAGATATTATGTTATTCAAAATATTGGACATATGGAGGATGAATTGTAACAGTGCTTCAGTGTGACATTTTTTACATATATGCTATGCGTAATTTTTGTGGAGAAGCATATTTTTACTGTATTTTCTCATTTAAAATAGTTAATCATTTGTTTCAAAACTTTTTACATTTGCTGCTATTTTAAAAAATACTTGTGGGAATGCAGGTATGGCAAAAATAGCTCTTGTTTTATTTAGTGCTGTTATTTCTAAGAAAAGGCAAACAATTATAAACATTTCTACTTAGAACATGTTGAGTGTTGTAGGGAAGAAAATATACTTAAAAGTGGACTTTGTAAGGAACGCTTATACACTGTTGGTGGCAGTATAAATTAGTTCAGCCACTGCGGAAGACAGAAATACCATTCAACACAGCAATCCCATTACTGGGTATATTCCCAAAGGAATATAAATCATTTTATTAGAGAGACACGCACGCACATGTTCATTGCAGCACTTCACAATAGCAAAGGCATGGAATCAACCTAAATGGCAATCAATTTTAGACTGGATAAAGAAAATGTGGTACATTTACACCATGGAATACTGTGCAGCCATAAAGAACGAGATCATATCCTTTGCATGGACATGGATAAGGGTGGAGCCCATTATCCTCACCAAACTAACACAAGAACAGACAACCAAATACTATGTGTTCTCATTTATAAGTGGGAGCTAAATGATGAGAACACATAGACACATAGAGGGAAACAACATACACTGGGACCTTTTTGGAGGGTGGGGGGGTGAGAGGATCAGGAAATTAACTAATGGGTACTAGGCTTAATATATGAGTGATGAAATAATCGGTACAACAAACCCTCATGACACAAGTTTACCTATATAACAAACCTGAAATCGTATCCCTGAACTTAAAAGTTTAAAGTAGACTTTCTGCCTTTCATTTTTTTCTTTCTTTTTGAATCTCACACTGCATTCTAACTTTCTGTCTCTCCCTTTTATTCTCTCCCTTCCCTTACTTTTTTTTTAAAAAAAGAATGTCTAATCTTTTTAAACTCCTCTATTCTCTCTCCCTCTCTCCCTCCCTGCCTCCCTGCCTCCCTCCCTCCCTCCCTCCCTCCTTTCCTCCTTCCCTCCCTCCCTCCTTCCCTCCCTCCCTCCCTCCCTCCCTCTCTCCCTCTCTCCCTCCCTCCCTCCCTCCCTCCCTCCCTCTCTCCCTCTCTCCCTCTCTCCCTCTCTCCCTCCCTCTCTCCCTCTTGTAGAACTTAGGGAGGTTCTAAGTTATTTTTCTCTTCCAGCATTGATTATCCTGAGAAGTGATTCCCTCACTCTGACTATTATTCAATACTTAGGAAATCCAAAATGTTAATGAGTTTTAACCTGGGTGGCAGAACTGGAAAGTCAGTGACTTTCTAGCTTATTCTCATTCACTATTACACTCTTCTCTCTATTAGAAATTTTATAAACAGATTAATAACAAAAATCATTATAAATTTTCTTGAGAGAAGAAAAACAACAGCCAGGGCCTTGTATTTCGTAACAGCAGTTATTATTTCTGCTTCCAGGAATAGTGACCATTGTTCAGTCTGACCTCTATTAGCTTGTTGAATAATTCTATTGAAAAGCTACGTTTTTTATTTCTTGACTCAAAATGCAATTAACCTACATGCTATTTGAGAATAAACCTCTATTTTTCATTGAGATTATACCAAATGGTAAAATATTTGGTTCCTCTTTCTCTCTCTGGATATAATGAGAAAAGCATTCTTTTTGGTTTTTAAAGTAAAAGTGTTTTTAAAAAATAGTAAAAGGAATAAAGTAACTGCTTGAATAAAAGACATAACTCAAACATTTCAGAAAGTAGTTTTCAATCTTAGTTTTTGCCTTAGCTTTCCTCAGGATTGCATAGTAATCATCACTGTAGTTACAAAGAACTAGTTATAGTTGGGTCTATGTGGCTGTAATTCTTACTGATTTTTTAAAATACAGAATTTTATATATACTGAGGAATTTATATATGAAATAAAATAAGTGTCTTGTAATGTTCACCATTTGGTTTTTTATTGGTTGTTTTATTTGCCAGGTAAAACATCTCCCTGTATTTGCAAGCAATATCTTTAGCAATGGTATGCAGATCACTTTATTACATATGATATAATTTAGTGTCTGCATTTGTTCATGAATCAAAAACATGATTAAATAGCTATTAAAAAGAATACATTCATTCTTATTTTTCTGACTATGTATTTCACATTATTTTACTCATTTTTCTGACCACAAATTATTTTATTTCAAATGGTCATTTTAGACATTTACAAAATGAGTAGCATCTACTAATGGTAGAAAGAGCTAGGTGAAATTATCATTTTATATTTTCATATCAGATAGTGTGCAGTGCTTCCTGATCATGTATTGTGTATGCTATGAAATAAAGTTTGGGATGGATGATAATGAGACTACTGTAAAAATAAACATGAGCATAGTAATCATGCTGTTTTTTGAAAGTGAGACTTACTTAGACTTAAATTGATTCTGTGTATATATATGTATATCAGTTACTGGCTGGCTAGTAATTTTAGGTACATGGACATCTCAGAAAGTGTCATTCCTGTGGGGTAGTAAGTAACTTGGTCAAATATCTGAGTAAACTCTTAAGCAAAGGAGAGAAGAAATTGAAGAAGATGCTCCAAATAAAATAAGTTTTCTAGGATTAATGATACATTAGTAGTAGGCATTTGTTAAGGTCCTCGGAATTTATTGCTTATGTAACTACAATAACCTCCTAAACTAGTTTATCTGCCCACAGTCTGCCCCCTCCAATACATTCTTCACATAAATTTTGTCCTTGAATGCAAACCGATTATAATGTGCCCTTATTTTGAATCTCTCATTTATTCACTTTCACCTGTAAGATCGTCTATGCTTCTTGGTGTGATGTTTGAGGACCCCTGTGTCTAGTCCTGGTTAATAGCATTTATTATCAGTTTTACCCTGACTGGCTCACCCTCTCTGTCCAGTCTACTGAATAACTCAATTTGCTTGTATGCTCCAGGCTTTCCCTTGCCTCTGAGCTTTTAATGTGTCTCTTCTTCCATCTCAGACTCTGTCACTGATGTTTGCTATGCTCTTGTGCTTCTGGGCCAAGCTGTAAGTATTAACATTTCTGGGAAGACTTCTCCAATTCTAAACCTACAAAATACCTGGGCTAGGAGTCCGTATACCCTTCCAAATACTCTGTGCATGATGCTACCATATCACTCATTTACTTGTCTGTCTCAACACTAGACTGAATGACTGAGGCTGACTAAATGTGTATCATGGTTATCAACCAAAATGGTGTTGAGATTCCAACAAATTGGCTTCTTTCAGAAGATACATTGGGAAGTCTTTTCCTCCTAGTCTCAGAGACATTCTAATAGATAGGGGCTATTTTTCACCTTACTACTCTTCTTTGGTATCAAGGTGGGTTATCAATCATTTCTGGATTTACTCTGAGTCACTACAAAAGGAAAAAGATTATTTTCCTATGGATATAAGTTATTCTATACTATATAGATGGCAATGATAACTATAGTCTGTTTTACTGGAGAAAACAATTAGTCTCTTTATAACAAAGGCATGAATGAATAAATGGATTAATAAATGCCTTAGGGAATCTCTGAATTGTTACATTGATTTGAATATCCACATCCTATCAGAAACCTATTCAGTTCTGTCTTGAATATATAAAAGTTACATTAATTATCATGATATCTTTAATGTCCATTCATTCATTTAATTTTATTCATTGATCACACAATTATTGACTGCTTACTATGTGCCAAGAACTGTGCTAGGTACTGACAGTGACTAAAACATGATCTCTGCTCTCAGAGAACTTGTACATGTTGAGGTAGAAGCTTCATCTCTCTTCAAAGGACTGGAATGTAATTAAAATGATCTGATAATAATGGTTCTGAGAAGGGATTTATATTTTTACAGACGAGCTATTTTGGAAATATTTGTTGAATAAACAAGATAGGAACTTAAAATTTTCAATTTGAAAACAAAATTAAGGATAACCAATTACCAATAAACAAGGTACTACATTCACTTTGATAGTATAACGGCAAAAGCTATGTCCTATTTTCCTATTGATAAATAAAAATATACCCTGAAAAAGAACTTCTACAGAAAAAGTTAAACTTCATTTTCACTTATTTTTTAATAGCTTCATATTTCACATGGTACCACAGGCTATTACAGTGGTGACATTCAATAAATCTGAGGCAGCAATAGAAATAATTATCTATTCATATAAATGATGATAAAATACTTTGGGAGGCCGAGGTGGGCAGATCACGAGGTCAGGAGTTCAAGACCAGCCTGACCAACATGGTGAAACCCTGTCTCTACTAAAATTACAAAAATTAGCCAGGCGTGATGGTGTGTGCCTGTAATCCCAGCTACTCAGGAGGCTGAGGCAGGAGAATCACTTGAACCTGGGAGGTGGAGGTTGCAGTGAGCTGAGATTACTCCACTGCACTCCAGCCTAGGTGACAGAGTGAGACTTGGTCTCAAAAAAAAAAATTAAAAAAACACAATCTGATTGCGTAATAATAGAAAATAAAATGGTATGAGCTGGGTGTGGTGGTGTGAGCCTATAGTCCCAGCTACTTGGGAGGCATGGTATGAAGACAGTGACAAATGAAGAAAGAATGACATGTGCCTTGTATTTCCAATTTTTATTTTTGAATGTTTGAATTTCTTTAAAATAGTTACATTTAGTTCTAGAAAATATAGTTAAAGAATTTTGTGGGTAAAAAATGTAGGTTTTCATTTACCAAAGTCTAGAGAAAGCATGCTTTGCTTTATGACTCATTTTGCTCACAATGCAAAGTTCCTAAATATTGGATGAATTAGAATTCAGGAAGTAACCTTAAAATCCTGGCCCTTTCTTATATCGGTTTGTGATATTTTCTTTCCACTTGATATATAAAGAGAAGAAACATGTATGAATTCATTCTCACCACTGCATTTACGATCCTGATTGATTTTTGAAAATTTCAGACCCAGCTTAATTCTTTTGTCACTGGGAAAGATTTTTGGGTCTGTTTTTGATTTTCTACTTTTTGTAAGCTATTAACCTCTTCTATTAAACTACAGGAAGGATGGGGGCAGGAGGAGAGTGTTGGGAACAAGAAGGGGCACGGGGTGGGAAGAGGTTTGAACTGAGGTTATGGACAAGATTCTGGGCTTCAAGTGTTTTCTCAGTTGCTGTTCAACAAGCCCTCAAGAAGGACATTGTGCTTCTTTTACAAAAAGTGCAGATTGATGTCTTTCTGTGAATGCTGTGCTTTGTAATAGGCCCCGATGGTTGGTTAAAGGTATCTGGGTTTCTAAAGAGACTGTTTGATTTGAAGCCAGCGGAGTCATGGGAGTGGATGGTAGTTGCCACTTATGTATAGCCTTGGAAGAAACTTAGTTCCAAGGATTCTGAAATATGAGTTGGTTCATGAGGGTTGCTTGCAAAAGATTTCCTGAACGAATTTGAATGGTCTCTGTCAAAGGAGTTGGGCCCTGTGGATCCATTAACAGAAAACTGCACAGTTGCATAGTGATTTGGGTAGATTGATATACAAAGGAAAGTGAAAAGAATCATGGGCACTTCTAAGAACAAGATTATTATACAGTCCCTTTGTTTCTGCAGCAGTGTTAGCTGGAATCAGGTTTCTTATTATCTCTGATGCTAAGAAGCCTCCAGAGAGGTTGTGTGGAATAATCTGTATTGCAAGTAGTTTCTTTTCTTTAAAAAGAGAAGATTTTATAGAGAAATATGTGAAAGGATATATATCACACTTTGATCACTAATTGCCTTGCTAGTGGGGTGGTAGTGGGAATATAAAGGAGTTGGGGTGGTGATGGTGACAAGAAGATCTTAAGCTTTTTAAATTTATGCATTTCTTATGTGAATACCAAGAATACTAATTAAAAATTAAAACAAAAATAACAGGTTTTTTTCTTCCAAGAAGATTTATTTTCAAGTTTATTATTGGGATTATACATTCTTGACTCTTTGAAAACAGTGGGATACAGAAATGTATAGATATAACAATTTAAAGAAACTATCTTCTCAATGAATGGAACAGAGCCATCTGTGGAGTGCTAGCATTCCAGCAAGTTCTCAGTGCTCTGCAGTCTTGTCTTTTGGGTTGTTACTTCATTCTTGAGCACAGGGAAAAGGAACAGATATCATTGTTGCCATTTTAGAAAGGGAAATTTCAAGATGGAAAGTTGCTCACTGAGAATAGTTGAATAAGTTTTGAAACATTCACATAATGCATTAAAAAAGATGGATATGTTTTGCAAAAATGTCCACAATATGCTGTTAAATTTAAAAAATGGATTAAAAATGTCACAAACATGCATAGAAACACTATTGTGATAAAAAGGATTATATGTGTGATTGGATTATAAATGATTTCCACTTGTTTTAATGTTGTAAAATTTAACTTATAGAAAAGTATAATACACATATATACCTACATACACTCATATGCATTAGTCCATACTTACACTGCTATAAAGAACTACCTGAGACTGGGTAATTTATGAAGAAAAGTTTTGACTCAGTTCTACATGCTTAACAGAATGCATGACTGAGAAGCCTCAGGAAACTTACAATCATGATGAAAGGCAAAATGTAAGCCTTATTCACGTGGTGGCAGGAGAGAGAAAGCTAAGAAAGCTAAACACTTTTAGACCATCAAATCTCAATGAGAACCCACTCATTATGAGAATAGCAAGGGTGAAACCACCCTCTTGATCCAATCATCTCCCACCAGGGCCCACCTTCACGTGGGGACTACAATTCGGCATGAGATTTGAGTGGGGATACAGAGCAAAACCATATCAACATACATATGCACACACCATACATATATTTAAATTATCAAAAGGCTTGTGTGCCTACCGAGGGTTAGGTCCTTCTCCAAATGCATCTCTCAGGATGCTCTCATCCTGTCCTCTCTTTTCCAGGTAGCCACTGTCTTTTGCCTGACTCATTTCTTGGCTTTAAAAAATGATTTACTTTCTATGTGTTTTCTCTAAACAGTATATTGCTTGGTGTGGAAAAACTGAGCAGTGAGCACAAATCTATTACCTTTAGATGAAGACTCCCGGGAGAAGATAAAGTGAGCAGTCTCTGATTCATTGGCTTCAGGCACCGTTACCGTTTCCAAGAGTGCCTTCTTGGAGAAGTCAGCCTACAAAGTTCTGACTGAGGCCCTCTCAGCAATCAGGGTATCCAGCAGGACTGATATTGAATACCCAATAGCAATGTAGTGAGAGAGAGGGCTACATTCTGTTTCCTTTTAAGGTCGCCGGCTTGCTTTGCAGGTCTCAAGCTTATCCAAAGACAAAATGTTTTGTGCAATGAGTGAAGTTGGCTGCTTCAGAACACAGGGCATTTAAAGGAGAGTAGGAGAGCATCAGCATATAATCAAGGCTAAAAGGGCAAATGTGTAAGAATCTCTGCTAGCCTGATCCTAGCACCTGTCCTTAGGGAAAATAGAAATATTTAATTAGGACTATTTGACATCTGTTTCTTAAGTGATACTTTTCCAGCCTGTGCTGCTTGTGGTGTAGGTCTGTGCATGACTGACACCCTGGGATTTTTCTCTTCTCTATCTGAGGATTTTTCTGGCCTTTTGCCTCTTTCCTGGGCTCCTGTTTTCTAATACTTAAGTCTTTTTGTTTGCTTACTTACCCTTTCTTATTTTATTAGTATATACCCGTTAGTAGCTTTTCGTGAGTGAGTGGGTGGAATATATACTTTTAGAATGTATTTCTGAAATGTCTTTACTTGACAGATAATTTGGTTCAGTATAATATTCTATTTTAGAAATTATTATTCTTTTGAATTTTGAGGTATTTCTTCAGTCATCTTGACTTCAGGGTTGCGATTGAGAACTGCAAAGCCATTCTGATTCCTTGTACAGTCCATTTGATGGACTCTTCCCCATTCTTTCTCACGGTTCTGCTAAGAAGTAGAATTTTCTTTGTCATCATTTTTCTGAAAAAACAAAACAAAACAAAAAAACAAGTTATGTTTTAGAATAAGCATATTTTGACCTGCCGTGCTGGGCACTCAGTGTGCTGTTTCAATCTGGCATTTTAGGTTGAATGATGTTGGTCTTTTCCATTCTTCCTCTTTCTTTGTTTTCTCTTTTTAGAAAACTTATTTGGATGCAGCATCTCAGGAACTGTTCCTCCTAATTCTCTTATCTTTTGAAGCTATTTTTCATTTCTTGGTCTTTGTTCTACTTTCTAGAAAAGTTTCCTCTTCTTGACCTATTAATACTTACATTGAGTTTTCATTTCAGCCATTGTGCTTTTTAAAATTTTCATGAGTACTTTTTTTCTACTGGATTTTCTATCTATCTATCTATCTATCTTTATTATACTTTAAGTTCTAGGCTACATGGGCACAACCTGCAGGTTTGTTACATATGTATACATGTGCCCTGCTGGTGTGCTGCACCCATTAACTCTTCATTTACATTAGATATTTCTCCTAATGTTATCCCTCCCTGCTTCCCCAACCCCATGACAGGTCTTGGTGTGTGATGTTCCCCACCCTGTGTCCAAGTGTTACTATGTAGCCATAAAAAAGGATGAGTTCATGTCCTTTGTAGGACATAGATGAAGCTGGAAACCGTCATTCTGAGCAAACTATCTCAAGGACAGAAAACCAAACACCACATGTTCTCACTCATAGGTGGGAATTGATCAATGAGAATGCTTGGATCTTCTTTTTATAGTGTCCAATTTTTACTGCAGTGTCTTCTTTCATTTCTTTGAGAATGTAAATGAAAATAATAATTTAAGATTTTCTTCTCCTGTCAAGTTTCCTCCTGTTTTCTTCAAGTCATTTTTAAATGTAAGTTTGTTTGGTTTCGACCTTCCAGATTAGAGCTTTTCCTCAGATGTCTGATCATCCTTGAGTACGTGCTAATGATTAAGATGACCATCCCCCCCTTTCTCCTACCATGTGTAGGCCTGGTGAACGTTATGCTTTATTGTAGGGAGACTTGAGTGGGCTGTTTGTGGGGGCAATCTCTAATGACAGTATCTCTGGTTTTTCCTCTTGTGGTGGTCAGATTATATAGAAAAAAGCCTTCCATCAGTTGTTGGGATTCTGGAAGTGAAGCTATTTTTGCTTTTACAATTGGGAATGGATACGGACACAGTTTGAAATTATTAATAGGCACTTATATTCTTAACTGTGCATAGCATCCCTCCAGCCAGAGAGCCTCAGATATTATATCCAGAAATTGAAGCTGAGTTGGGGTGAGGGAAGTTGCCCAGAAACATGGATTAGAAGATCTAATTACCAATCTTACTGCTTCGCAGTTTTTCTACAGTACTTTTGATTATAGTCCCATTTCCTTATTTCTTCCCTGGTTCCAGAGCTATTGAATGATACAAGATCCTAAACTTGTAGGGCTTCTGTGGTCTAAATAAGGCTGTTTCAAAATTTTCTCCTCAGTTGGCTTGGGACTTAGCTTTCTTCCATCACCAAGTCAGTTACTACACATCCATCTCCTTTGAACCATCTACTGTTTTATTGCTGTCCTCTTAACTCTGTCCTTATGTGTTTAAGTCTTTAAAAAAGACTCCTTTTACTCTGGTTTTAGTGAAGTTTGGGGAGAAAGCAAATTTCAGTGGATGATTTTCACCCTTGTAAACCAGAATAACTTCTAAAAGTTTTCTGTACTTATGTATATGTTTAAAAATTAATATATCTAATGCTACTAAAGCCATGTTTATTTTGACAAAAATGTCAAAATAAATGTTATGATAATAAGAAAAAAGGAACCAGACATTTTTGTGTCCTTCTAATATCACACAAAAAAATTGAGAAAAGTAGAAATTTTCCAAATTCCTGATGGACTAGTTAAATCTGTCCATCTGACAGATCTACGGGTGGCGAAGGCAGAAGAATCACACGAACCTGGGAGTTGAAGACTGCAGTGAGCTGAGATCACGCCACTGCACTACTCCAGCCTGAAAGACAGAGCAAGACTGTCTCAAAAAAGAAAGAAGGAGACCGGTATAGTTGTGGGTGACCTGTACAGTAAATATACCAACTGACATAAGACATGTGTGCTTATAATAGTTAAATAAATGTATAGATGTATGATATACACATATATTTCCGAGAACAGGTAGTATCATGAAAGTAAAGAATGGACTTGTAGAATAAGCTTATAGGAAGCTAAACCAAATCCAGGAGGAGAGACTTAGAGACTCGATGTGCAGCTCTTGATCTTGCTGGCCTGCAAAGTATACACTTTCTGTCTGTGGATTAGGGTTATTCCTTCCAGCACACACTCTACTTCCTCATATAATCCCATATCCCATTGCTTCAGATCTTTTCTGCCTGACCTTTTGGAAATCAATGTTGCTAAGATCTGTAGAGTTGTCAGTGATTTAATGTATTACTATTGTGGCTTACAGATTTGGAAATTTCCAGGGATTTCCTGGAAATGACACTTTAATATTATCTCCAGTAATACTCATGTCAGGGGGCAATATGGGAGGGGCTTAAAATGGGCTAACCTGTGTTGTGAGGACTAATTCCAACAGGTCTAGAATTAGACTTCTGTCTGAATGGATTAAAATTTGTACCTCAATAGCACTGACCCCTAGTAAGGCATAAAACATTGACTCACAGTATTGTTTTGTAATTAAGGGACATTATTCAGGGAGGTTTATACCAGCTTGTCAGCATCTTTTGTCGATAACAGTGAGATTCATGATTTCTTCCCAGGGGATTCTGCCCTTGAGTCTGCATATTCCACAATTTATGTATTGTACTGATTATAACTGTTTGGAGAGTTTCCAGCTTGGAGCTATTATGAAAGTACTACTCTGAACATTCTAGTACCTGTATTTTGGTGAATAAACGTGTTTATTTTTGTTGGATATATACTTAGAAGGAGAAGTGTTTGGTAATAAGATGGGCATGTTTTCAGCATTAATAGATGTTGCCAAAGAGTTTTCTGAGGTGGTTGTACCAATTTACACTTCCATGCAGATGATCTTTAGATGGTTAGAAAATATTGCAGACTTCTTTGGCAAATGAGAAAACTCCTTTCTTGATGACTCTTTCTATATATAAACTAAATATTTTTTTAATTTTTATAGGTTCACGTGCACATTTGTTATATAGATATGTTGAATAATGGTGAGCATTGGCTTCTAGTGTGCCTATCACTTGAATAGTGAACATTATACCCAGTAGGTAATGTTTCAGCACTCACCCTCCCAATCCTACCTCCTCCCTTGTGAAGTCGCCATTGTGTATTATTGCCTTCTGTATGTCCATGTGTAACCATTATTTAGCTCCCTCTTATAAGCGAGAACATGTAGTATATAATATTCTGTTTCTGAGTTATTTCACTTAGGATGATGGCCTCTAGCCTCATCCATGTTTCTGCAAAAGGCATGATTTTATTCTGTTTTCTTGCTGCATTGTATTCCATGGTGTATCTATATCACATATTCTTTATCCAGTCATCCACTGAGGGAGTCTTAGGCTGATTCCATGGCTTTGCTATTGTGAGTAGTGCTTCAACAAACACATGAGTGTTGATGTCTTTTTGTTATAATGATTTCTTTTCCTTTGAGGAGATACTTAGTAGGGGGTTTGCTGGGCCTAATAGTTACATTTTTAGTTCTTTGAGAAATCTCCGTATTGTTTTCCATAGACGTTGTATAAATTTACATTCCCCAAAACAGTGTATAAGTGTTCCCTTTTCTGTGCATTCTCATCAACATCTATGGTTTTTTGATGTCTCAATTATAGCTGTTCTGACTGGTGTGAGATGGTATCTCATTTTGGTTTTAATTTGCATTTCTCTGATTAGTGATGTTCATCATTTTTTCATATATTTGTTGGCTGCTTGTGTGTTGTCTTTTGAGCCCAAATAGCCAAAGCAATCCTAAGCAGAAATAACAAAGATGAAGGAATCATATTACTGACTTCAACTTATGCTAAAAAGCTATAGTAACCAAAGTAGCATGGTACTGGTATAAAAATAGGCACATAGATTCATGGAACAGGGCAGAGAATTCAAATAAAGCCACATACCTATAGCCAACTGAATCTTCAACAAAGTCAACAAAAATATACAGTGGGGAAAGGACTCCCTATTCAATAAATGGTGCTGGGAAAAATGGATAGCCATATACAGAAGAATGAAGCTGAACCCCTATCTCTCACCATATAGAACAATTAACTCAAGATGGATTAAAGACTTAAATGTAAAACCTAAAGCAATAAACATCCTAGAAGAAAACCTAGATAAAGCTTTTCTGGACATTGGCCTAGGCAAATTTTGACTAAGACTCAAAAGCAAATGCAACAACAGCAAAAATAGACAAATAATACTGAAACTGAAAAGCTTCTCCACAGCAAAAGAAATAACAGTTTAAACAGACAACCTACAGAACGAGAAAAAATATTTGCAAACTACTATCTCCAACAAAGGACTAAGATCCAGAATCTACAAGGAACTCAACTCAAAAACTAAAAGGCAAATAACCTTATTAAAAAGTGGACAAAAGACATTAACAGACATTTCTTAAATTAACTAATTATTTTAAGTAGTACTTAACTATAGGTTTTACCTGATGGAAGACACTAGCTTATTTAAATGATTTCTGTGACTCATTTACTTTTCTTAACTGAATCTTATTAATGATTTATGTGTCCAAATTCTTTTACCATTCTATTCATTTTAGAAAACATAATTACTAGAAGAAGGTACAATATAATCTTGCAACTGTTCATTGCTGTAGATTTTTGTGATCAAAACTGGTAAAATCCTAGTCTGTAAACTATTTTGGAATCTTCTGGTTATTGTAGATTTACAAAGTTTTAAACGTTTCCCCTCCACCCCCCTTACATTAGCTCTTTTGTAAATTCCCATGAGAGAGAGAATAAAGAAACTTCCACAGAGCCATGGCATCTTATTTTTCAAAGAGAAGCATGATTAAGACAAAATTTGAAGTATATCTAATTCACTTTGGAAGCTCAAGGAAGTTTAGATAAGTATGAGAATGTTTAGAAAATTAGACTTGTACTACATGACAATTAATTTTAAAGAAGATGATGACTCGTTTGGAATTAACAAAAAATAAAAGACATGCTTAATTTGAGAGCCAGTTTTGCTGTTGGGGCACACCAGAAGGGCAGACAGGGTAGGACAACTCAAAGCAACAAGCTTGAAATACTCATAGGAAAAACTATTCCTTTGTCTCTGTAAATGGATGTTCCTTTGAAATGTCCGTTAGTGCATTTGATTAGACTTAATCAGTAACAACCCCTTGTGCAGAGTAGGCAGGAAAAGTAATAAGGAGACTGCGTTTGCTTGTGTGCACTTTTACTTTTTTCTACACTTCTACAAATACAGCATTTTGTCCTTGACATACTGTGATCTGTAAGTCACAGGGCTTGGCATGGCAAGCTACTAATTTATAGACCTTATTTTTTTTTAATCTCTTAAAAATTATTTATTATGGAAATTTTTAAACATTTACAGAGGCAGAGATAATACTGTAACATATCTGACGTACTCATCACACAGTCTCAGCAATTATCATGATTGACGAATCTTATTTTATCTGTATAGACACTCACTTCGTCCCTCTTCTACTCATATTATGGTGAAGCAAAGCCCAGACACCGTAATTATTTCATTTTAAAATGTTTCAGGATATGGCTAAAAAGTAAAGTTTTTAAAAATATGCCATTTTCGCACCTAAAACAAATTTTCTTGATTTGTGTTTAATACTTTTTTGTTGTATTGACCAGGGAAAATTTGAACACAAGACTTGAATCAAATAATTATGTCCCTTTTTCTTAAAGATACCATTATATTTCATCAAAGATGAGCATGAATTATTTCATGTTAAAATCTGTTTAAGCTCATGACATATTTTTTGTTCAATAACTACTTCCTTTATGTTAGTATATTAGTATATATATATATTTTTTACTTACATCAACATTTCTCCATCAAATGACTTTGCATCATGGAACAGATACCTGAATGATCCTTTTCTATTACCACATACACATCTTAATTGGAGTATGGCATCCTCTAGCTACAAGTATTTAGAAAAAGAATACAAACACGGCATTTTGTTAAGCATTTGAATTATTCTCACCATAATATCAGTTAAACCTCTGACAAGGGTACCTAGTGTCCTTGTGTTTGAAATAAATGTCTTAAAGCCTAGATTGGATTTTCTGAGCCCAGCTCTATTCCAGTGACACTGTCAGAAGCATGGTTGGTATCATTAACTATGGTACAGTACTATTTAGTGCTTTGAAAAATGAGGGTAAGCTTCAGGTCCACTTCTGCCTCTGGTAAAAGTCAATGAGTGGTGGTAAATGAGTAATCAATAAAAACTAGTATGTATAACTGTACTCTTACTAAATAGGTATATTCATGTTCTATAGGAAAAGTATAGTCTCCAGTGACATCCTTGCTTTATAGAAAACCTGTGGAAACTTTTAAGCACATCAGAAACAGATGGATAAACTTACAACAAATACAAAGTAGTATATTTGGGTATTTTTAAGAAAAAGAGATGGTTCTGAATTACATTAGAGCCTCTTCATTCTTCCCTAAACCAAGAAAGAATGATTGTCCTATTTCTAACAGGCTTTAAAACAAGATATTATATTGCATTATGGAGCTGTGCCATCCCAAATTTGAAGGTAATAGGAAATTTTCAAGTTATGCTAGATATTATGGCTACATGGATGCTTCTATGCAGATGCTGGACTATGCCTGTAATAAGCTCCTTAGCCCTCTACTGTTCAATGGGTAATGGTTGCTTTTCTCTACTTCATTTTATTTATACATTGTCAGTTGTGTTAGTCAGGAGAGGTGAGGTTATGCTGCACTAAGAAAACAACATTTCAGAGGCTTATGTCTCATTCACTTAAAACACCCTGAGGGTCAAGGCATCACTGTTGAGGCAGCTGTCCTCCATTTGTTGGCAGAGTTACTTTCTAATTTATTTCTTTGAACATTGTTAAAATTCTACACTTTATGTTCGCTATTTTGGCAAAGAGCCAAAAATGGCACTACTTTTTCTTTTTCTTTTTTTTTTTTATGTTACAGTACTTCCACGTCAACATAGACTTCCATGAACACCTTGGCAGTAGAAGCGAGAGCATGGGGAATGGTGTACCAGTTCCTAAATGTTTTCAGATGGAAGGGGCACATGTCCCTTTCATTCTCATTTCATTGGCCAAAGCAAGCTTCCCAGCTATACTCAAGCTAAGGAGGCAAGGAAATGCAATCTTTCTACATACCTTAAATGAGAGACTTGAAAGTTTTAGTGGGTTTATTGATGTCTATCATGACAGTTCTATTCTGATTAATTTCTTTGAGTATTGCTGAAAATCTATACTTTATTCTAAAGTTATGGGGAAGAAACAAATCAAAGACACAATATTTTCCTCCCAGATATTATATATTATTAAAGATATTTTGATAACTACATATCATTGGTGTTCAAGCTTTAATGTGTATATAAATCACCCAGGACCTTGTTAAAATGCAGATTCTGGTTCAGTCAGTCTGAGGTGGGTACTAGATTCTGCATTTTTAAAGGCCTGAGGAGCATACTTTGAATAGCATGCCTCTGGTCTATCATTCTATTTTGAGAGCAAAAGGCATCATGATTTTAGTTGTATTCAAACAGAAATTTAGGCCATTCTTCCTCCCCACCCCCATCTGAATTAAG
Source organism: Homo sapiens (assembly GCF_000001405.40). Lineage (NCBI taxonomy): Eukaryota > Metazoa > Chordata > Mammalia > Primates > Hominidae > Homo > Homo sapiens. Next base: position 118,451,221 of record NC_000005.10, on the reverse strand, counting down.
GACAATGTCTCAGGGTGATAATTGTCAAACATGTAGGAAGAATGTCAGCGCAACTCAAAGCATGCTTCTGAATGATAATTGGCTTTGTGTTCATTCATATTAAAACAGGACTGGTAGGAAGAAAAGAAACCTAATTGAACACTTAAAGCATCCCACTAAATCCAGCTTCTAATTATGGTGGGGCTCACACAGCAGGGACACTAAAAGGAAGAGGAGATACTGAAAACATCTTTATACTCTTTTGCTCTTAAGAGCCCTTCCTGAGTTCAAACGCAATTTGTGCTAAGGAGGCAGCGACTGACAAGCTTTACCCCCAGCAAGCATTGCAGAGACAGGGCGTCAGAGCACTTGTCATTATGCTTCAAGTTTATCTAATTATTAATAGAACACTTATTTTTTCCTCTGATCCTTTACTAATTAAGATTCTTGCATGTTTTAAACATTTCACTTAGCACTTAGGATTCCAAATGAGTTGGCATTTGGCTCCAAGTTGGAGATTGGCTTCAGAGGGCTGTATTAGAGTTGGTATGAATGCGCGTTTGGGTAGAAACAAGGCTGGACTGGGTAAGAACCTTCACAGGCAGTTCTCATTTTACCCAGAGGCTGTTTTTTTCCTTTGCTCATTTGTAATGCTAACCCGTGATGGTGGAATTGGTGTATTGCTATAAATTAACAACAATGCCTCATACTTCTTTTTCTGCAGGTGTAATTCAAAGAACTGTCACAAGAAATAGCAAAGCTATATATTCTTTATAGCAACTGTCATGAAAAATCCCAATTACTTTAAATTACCACAAAGTGATTTCAAAATCAACCTCAGAACTGCTGCCCTTGATTTTCTTGCAATTAGTTAAAAGGGCAGGAGATAGAGCAGTAAGTATTGTGGTATATTACACAGTAGTTACATTTTTCATGATCAAGGAACTTTCAGTTTACAGCTTCTTTCCTTTGAACTAATTTATTGAATGAGATAATAATTCTAGGCCCATTTCCTTATTATGCTGACACTCAATATCTGGGGTTTGGGCATATTTCACTTCCCTTTTATCATTAAAATATTTAAAACTATAATTTAAAATCTTAGCAAATGCTAATTTTTTCATGAGATAAACTGAAACTTCTTGGTATTACCCCAGGGAATCAGCAATGCCTGAATCCTGCCTAGGGAAAGCTGCTCTTCTTCAGGAGGCTCTGATGAAGACAGATGCACAACAGGCGATGACAAAGGCAAATCCCCCTTGAGTCCTCATACTCGATTTCCCAATGCAGGATTCTTTGTTAAACTAAGCTGCAACAAGAGGCTCAGGCTGGAGGCTTGAGAATATTTGTTTTTATGCCATCCAGACTAAATCCTTATTTTACCATCTAGAGATTGACATAGAAAGAGCAACCAAAGAGATCAGATAATTTCAGGATGTGCGAGTACATACAGTGATGTGTTAAGGACTACTCATTGGGAAAGGATCTGGCACACTTATTTGCTATGCAGAGGGGAGTGGGTGGTTCCCATGAGCTTAGGCACCTTGGGAGATTGAATGACTTTTTGGGCAATGCTCCTTTATTGATCAAATAAGATAGGGAAATAGCAGCCTTATATCCTACAGTTCTCTAAGGTTTAGGAATCAAGGAGGCAGAGGAAGAGGTTTAAGGCTCTGGAGAATATAGGTGACAATATATTTTGAACCCTAGTTACAGACCCAGGGGTAATGATAGGCCTGGGATATGCTATATGGATGTCTCTTGTGTCCTGTAGAGTGAATGCTGAAGTAGTAGGTATGCCCTAAAGGTTTAGTAGGAGCTGAGAGCATTTGGTAGGAGTCGTTGAGGGAGAAAGAGCAAAGATGTAGACAGGTGAAATATGAATTGTGGGATGGTGAAGCCAGGAATACTGGCAGCTGCTCATCTATAAATTCAGGGCCCTCAGTCATAATCTTTTGATCTCTTTTTACCATTTGCAAATTGCAAATAAAGACACATCAAGTTCTAGTGCAAATATAGAAACTATCCACGGATTCATCTGTTATTCTACTGATCAGTCTATTCATTCATCCTTCTATCAAGAGAAAAAGGGTGATTAGTGATCATTTCTGTTTTTTCTTCTCTGGCTAGAATCTCTGTTCTTGTGCCTTTTCCATTGTTCCCACAAAGAGCATTCACGTATACAGCAATTGCTTTAGAAATTACAAATATATTTTAAAAATATATTTAAATGGGAGAACGGATGAATGGAGTCATGCAAAGACCCCTATATCGAACAAATTTTTCTAAAGACCCTGTATTTCTCAATGCCAAATCAGTTGATTTTACCCTGTATTTGGACTACTGGACATATTATCCATGGATGCAATTTTTAAGAATTATTCCAGCTTGCAATGGACTGCATGTTTGTGTCCCCTATAGCATTAATATGTTGAAGTCCTAATCCCCAATGTGGTGGTATTTGGAGATAGCACTTTTATGGAAGTAATTAAGGTTAAGTGAAGTCAGAGGGGTAGAGCCTTGATCTGATAGAATTTGTTACTTATAAGAAGATACACCAGAGAGCTAACTTTCTCTCCCCATGTGTGTGCAAAAATGAACTCACGTGAACAACAGTGAGATGGTAGCCACCTACAAGCCAAGAAGAGAGGTCTCAGAATGACACCTACCTTGCTTGCACCCTGATCTTGAACTTTCCAGCCTCCAGAATCTTGAAAAATGAATTTTGTATTGTTTAAGCCATCCAGTCTATGTTAATCTGCTATGGCAGCCTGAGCTGATTCATATACCACTCTTAGTCTCCACTCATATGAAAGGTATATGGAGATGGTCTATAAGTTTAAAAGTTTTTTCTTAATGGAAAAATTTTCAAATTTCAAAAGCTATTTCTCCTTGAATATTGTGAAATACCTAATCTGATGCAACTTACTTCAGGACAGGTTCCTTTTGGTTATTTTCTAGATTCTTTCTTGGTCATTCTGTCCATCACCATATTTTGACATCTCAAATCTGCTAGACTCCTGCTGAGAGCGTTTCTAACACTAACATTACTTAGAGTAGTTGACTTTCTCAGAAAACTTTCACATTTGATTATCTCTTCTCTCTGATGTGTAGTCATCCTCTTCCTGCCAACAGAATGCTTCTCTTTGACTTACGTTTTGGTTATTTGACCTCCTCCCTCATTACTGTTTAGCTACTATACTATTTTTCTTTTCCACTTGCTTTTATACAAAGTCTCAATTTTATCACTTAACACTCATCCAGTCACCTAATGTCATTGGCCTCTACTCCCATTCCTCTACTGAATGTAGACAGTTCTTTCTAAACTCATTAATGCGTTTTTTATAGTTAAACCCTAAGAATGTCTTTTGGTCTTTCATACGTGACTTTGAATTGCATTCAACACTTAGTCACTGTCTCTTCTTGACCCAGTCTCTTAGCTTGCTTTTCACAATATAAACCTTTCCTATTTGCACCCAACTTCTCTGTGTGTGCTTCTCCTTTGCAGGCTCCTTCTTCATCACCTTTTTCCTGGATTGTAGAGCTTCTCTAAGCTTGTTTCAGAATCCGCTCTTCTTCTCACTCTGTAGTCTCTCCCTAGGCAATAGTATTTATGCCTAAGGTTTTAATCACTTCTTATAAATAAGTGACTCACAAATTCATACTTTTGTTTGAAACCACTCCTTTTGGCTCCAGGGTATGCATTCTCTTTCTTGACTGCTCTGTTAGATGACTTAAAGACACTTCAAGATCAACAGATTAAAAATAAACTAATGAACCCTTACCTCAATCCTGGCCTTCTTTTTGAGTGTTTTATCTTTGCTGTGGAATCATCATTTATCTAAGATATTCTACCTAGAATCTCAGCAGTCATTCTTGACACCTCATTTCCCTCATTCTTGTATTTACTCATTTAACATTTATTCCACAAATATTTATTAGGTGCAGTTATGTACCAGACATCGTTCTTAGTGTTGGACATACATCATCAAATGAGTTAATATCTAATTCATCACCCAGTCCTGACAATTTTATATCCTATATATAACCAACTCCCTTCATTTCATCCATTCTCCTCAAAGCTATTATCATTTCTCTACTGCAATAACCTCCTGTATAGTCTATCCACATAGTTACTGGAACAAAACTTTCCAAAGGCTGTAAATGCCACTTCATCTCACCCCTTCCCCAGCTCTTGCTTAAAACCTCCCAGTTCTTTTAGAATGAAAAACAGTCATTAGTGTCACTTAATGGACCATGTCAGCTCTTGTCCCTGCTATCTCTCCAGTCTCATCTATCATTATGCTTCCACATTCTCCTTGTACTTCAGTTACTTTGCATCCCTTTTGCCACACATTTTTTGAATATTGTTCTGCCCATTTTATTCATAGTTAATATCACTTCATAGCTCAGCACAATTTTCACTTGTACAGAGATAATCTCCTTGCCTTCCCAGACTAGATCTAACCTTATCACCTAATGTACGCACTCATGGAACAGGAGCAGGTCTTTGTTTTCTCCCCACAGAATCTATAATACTCAGTGCAATGCCTGGCATATATTAGGGGTTAATTAATATTTCTAAATGAACAAATAAGCTTTTTCACTGAATTTTTTAAAAATGTATAGCCTAAGCGTTTTGCTCATTTGCTCATCATAGTGGAGTCCTTTGGTTTGCATGGGCCTTTGCTGCTGCTTTTCTTAGGCTCTCCTTAGATTATTTATCTCTGTCCTAAAGTGACCTTTTAACCAGTTCCATGTAGGCACTGCCATCTCTGATTATTTGAGATGCAGTAAAGATTCTCAGACTGTTTACCCTAAACCAATGGCAATCATTGGGGAATATGCAAATTAACGCCAATTACTTGCATTTATCAAAATTTTCATTTAAATCTCATAGCTGAGCTATACACAGTCACATAAATGATTTTAAAAACTGGTATTCACAGGAGAAAACATTGTAATTATGCTGGGGTGGGAAAATTACTGACAGAGAGGAAGAGGGAACTATTTTTGTTGCTTAATTTAGAAAAGTGCCCTAACAGTTCGGTTATGGTCTTATGACTCTGCCAGTCAGATGCAAAAACTTGGCATGTTTAAATTTACATTTTCTTTTGTTTTCTTTATCCTGCATGTTTCCTGCAGTGCTAGTGAGGGGTAAAGAGGAGAAAAAAGTGGGTCAAAGAAGAATGTGGAACCTGTATAAGCCATCAAATTAAAAGTTAATCCAAAGATTAATAAGCTACCAAAAAAAAAAAAAAAAAACAAACTCAGCTGTTGCTATTATTTACCTGTATTGGGCACCCAATCTTGGGACAACCTCTTGACTTCTTAATAACATGGGGTCAATATTACACCTCTCACAGGGAGGTCAAAAGGATCAAATGAGGTCATACATATGAATATTCTATGAAGTGCTATGCCACACAGTTAGCTTATGTGATAATTATTTTTATTGCTAATAACCAGGACTCTGGACTCCTTGGTATTTATGTCCAAGATTTCTTGACATAGCCAACTCCTTTTAGTGTGTTGTTCCATGTGTCAGACACTAAGTACCTTACAAATATTCATTTAATTCCTATAACAACTTTATTATAAAATAAGTACTGTTGTTTTCTCACATGCAGATTAAGAAACTGAGGCAAAGGAAGGTTTACTAGCTTGCTAAAAGTTAATGTCACATAGGAGGCAGCATCTTCTATTTGGAAAATAATGATCTCATTCTGGAAAAATTCCACCTCTTGGCTTAAACGCTACTTCTTTAACTTACCTTTCACCCGTGGAGTGCATGGAATTCGTGCACTGTATGTATAGGACTTAGCTGCCATGAAGGAAAGTTATTTTCTCCACTTTCTGTTTGAGTGTCCCACTGGCTTTGCTTTGTATCTCACGTCAGGACTGTGATATAGGCTTTTACTTCAAGATAGGATTTACTGTTTTACTTTAATTTCCTCTCAGGATACCATGCCAGAGTGCTTTTGAAATTTTGTTATTCTCTGCATCGATGATTTGTCCTTTGAAATAGAGAAATAACATTTGTCATCCTGACATTTGGAGATCTAGACTGTGCCATTTGTCCCTTCTTAGCCTTGTTTTAGGTAGTAAATCAGGCAAGGTATTGGGGGTGTCTTGCTTGGAGAAGAGATGGTATCCATAATAAGAGTTTCTCAGTGTCAGGATGTTGTGGATACAAGATTTGGGATCTTTTGTTTCAGAATATTTTTACCTGATGCAGAAATACTGTTCTTTATTGTTCTTTTCTTTCCATAGGTGAAGTTGTGTTTTTGTTTTTAACCTCTTTCCTTCTTACATAGCACGGAGTTCAGTTTGGCATTTTTCTTCTTTGGTATTAGTGGTGGATGTTGGAGCCCTAGTACTTCTGACATAATGTCAAGATTATCCACATTTGTTATCTCTATTCTTTCTTCGAGGTAACTTTGGGGATAGAAGTCTTTGAATTAATAATTTGATCTGACTTTTAGAATGATGTGTTTAAATTATCTTTTAATCTTTGCTGTGTAAACCATAGAGTTATCTTTTTATGCGTGTGAGTGACTGTGTCTAATTCAAATTTAGTAAATAGTTTTAACAGTCTGTCCACTTAAATTTGAAATGATTTTGAATCTCAAAGCAAAATCCTACAGGTACGAATAAGAGAATAGTAAGACATTTTGTCAACATTAGTTATGAACTGTTCTAAGAGTCACCTTTTTAGCTATGTAGAAAAAATGTTTAGAAATGGAAAATGTCTAGCTTCGTCTAGTATTCTGGTTCTTTCTTGTGCCTTGCATGCACTTGAATTATACTATTTTGACATAATTAGGTTGACGAATATAATGGAAGACAATTCTTATATGTTTTACACATAAAATCAGTGGCAAACAATGAGAGGTAAATGTGTTGCTGTTTTAGACTTTCTGAAGCCCTAAACTATGGTTGCCGGTTACATATAGGACAACCAGTTAAATTTGAATTTCAGATAAACAGTGAATAATTTTCTAAATATAAGCATGTACCAAATATTGAATGGAATACATTTATACTAAAAAATACTGTTTACCATGTAACAGGGTATCCTGAGTTGTTATTTGCTAAATTTGGCAACTTTATCCTAGGTCTAGTTAGTATCCATTGACTCTGATTGGACACTGATATTCATTTCTGGTCTTTTAATTGTAGCTAAGAAGTTTATATCTCCAAGTCAAATCTGCCTAGAAATGGGATTTTATGCCATTATGAAAGTAATCAGACAGATAGATAAATAGGTTAAAGAGGACCATGCAAGGGTTATGATTAACCCATTCCCATCCACTTAAGGCCCATAAAGAAAAGCAGTAAAAATCACCCCTCATGCCAATCTGTCCTAGAAACAGGTAGCAAGCTAGAAGGAAGCCCACTAAATATTATCCCAGCAGCGTGGCAGGCCCTCATCCTGTCTATTCTACAGCTCTCAGAATGGGTGAGCCTTCTTTTTTTTTTTTTTTCTATGACGGAGTCTCTGTCACCCAGGCTGGAGTGCAGTGGCGCAATCTCAGCTCACTGCAACCTCTACCTCCCTGGTTCAAGCAATTCTCCTGCCTCAGCCTCTTGAGTAGCTGGGATTACAGGCGTGTGCCACCACGCCCAGCTAATTTTTGTATTTTTAGTCCAAATGGCATTTCACCATGTTGTCCAGGCTGGTCTTGAACTCCTGACCTTGTGATCTGCCCGCCTCGGTCTCCCAAAGTGCTAGGATTACAGGCGTGAGCCACTGTACCTGGCCGAGGCTTCTTTCAGGTTGACAGCAATGCTGCACAGATGTAAAAGCGGCTGAGAAGCACCACAGGGCTCCAGCTAATTCCTTATTCAGTGCAGGCTCTGCATGCCCTCACCCTTGCTCCCTGGCTTCCTTCCTGTCCTGCCTTTTGTTCCTCCCAGCTCTGTACAACTGCTTTCTGCCTCAGTCTTCAAACTCTATTGAGCTGCTCCCACTTATTCATACATAATCTGCTCTGTAAACTCATCCGCAATACTTAGCACAATATTTTGGACCTTGTAGATATTTAAAAAATTGTCACACAGAACAAGATGCTATAATTCAATCATAATAAAGGCAAGTGAAAAGAAAAACTCCAAACTGCTCAGATCCTATTTAGCTTGTTAGATTTTTAAATTATTTGAGAAATCTTATTTGAAGAATGTTGTTGACAGGGCTTATAATGGTATTTGCTGTAATGGAATTGAGCTCTATCATGGGCATGGGTCTTTTCTATGAACCTTAGATTATCAATCCATCCCCATGCTAATTTATGTAAACAATGGTATTACAACACCATTGTGATAAATATTCACTTTCCCTTTTAATCACAAATCACACATAATAAAAGGGACTTCATCAGGAATAATAAATAAGGGGAAGGCTGTTTAATTTGATTCACTTTCTCTATTTTCTGTTTACATAGCATACTTTTCTTACAAGTTTTCCAGGTTTTGTCTTTAAATTTTCCTAGTTGTTGACGTAACAACTTATTGTTGGAGAAATAAGCTGAAATTCATCTTGATATAAAAAGTATAATTTCATTTGATGGTTCCTATTTTACTAATCTTTTTATATTTCACGGTGTCATTTTTCTGTGGTTACAACAAAGGGTTGTTTGAGCTTTGATTCAGAGACTTGCTCATTCAAATCTGCATATTCTTAATGACTTTTAGGGAGATGGTTGTTACCAGGAAGGCTTCTGCCTCCTGCCTCATATACTTCTCATCTTCAGGAATACCACTGATCTAGATATTCAAATCATCTGTAACTCTTTCTTAAAAATGGAAAGTTTGTTGATACAAGAAGAAACTTCTTAAAAAACTGGGTCTCTTTTTTGCCCCAGAAATGAATGACTAACCACTTATTTTAAAAAACCTGAACTAAGGAAAATATACTCAAAACACTGACAGTTCATTCAGGATTGCTATTCTAAGAGAAAAATATTTGAACTCCAGGCAAGGGTTTTGACCTTTGTGTTCTTCCCCAAAACAGGCTGTCTGGCTGTCAAGCACTCAGATAACTTTTTCCATCCTATGACAGCTTCTGCAGTGAAAGTGACAGTCTGTCTGCAGTGGGACAACATGTGGCTGCTTGATGTAGTGTAGCAGAGGGGGACATCACTGTTTTTCTAAAGCTTTCATATGTGACTGATTAAGTTAATCGTGAGAGTAAGGTAGATCCGGTCACTCCCCAGGGACCAGAGAGTTCAGTACAACACAGTTTTGTTCAAATCAGCTGAAGTAATGACAAACAGGGTATTTTAAAAAAAAATTTAGTTATTCTCAAATGCCTCCTCACAAGGTTACCTTGTGCCAGATACCTGAGTGAGCATCATTTCCGTCTTCCTTATACATTAAAGTTCTAGGAAGTGTCTCTAATCAAACAAGGGCAGCTGGAAGAAAGATCAGTTATCATGGCCAGTAGTCTACTGATTTCATTTTTGGTTAGAAATTCACTACAGTCCAAATGCTTTTAGATCCTTTTCATCTTAAGAACAATATATGAACCTTATTGCCTATAATTATCATTTTTGTCAACATATTTGTTTTGTGTAAAAATACGGTTGGCTCTGTAATGAATTTTACCATTTCTACCTGCATTGTTGTTTTTAGGAAGCCCAGATTAAAGCTAAGTAGCTAGACCATCCTGGCTAACACGGTGAAAACCCATCTCTACTAAAAATACAAAGAATTAGCCGGGCGTGGTGGCGGGTGCCTGTACCCCCAGCTACTTGGGAGGCTGAGGCAGGAGAATGGCATGAACCCGGGAGGCGGAGCTTGCAGTGAGCTGAGATTGCACCACTGCACTCCAGCCTGGGAGACAGTGCGAGACTCTGTCTACAAAAAACAGAAAGAAAACAAAACAAAAACAAAAACAAAAAGGCTAAGTATCTCAGCTGACTTCTGATTGAGTAGATATGGGCTGGTAAGGGACAGAAGATTCATAACTGGATACTAGGCTCACAACAGGGGACTGAAGTTCCTGTTCTAGTTCTGTCACATATCTCGTGTTTTATCCTGAGGAAGTTACTTAACTCTGGATCTGAATGTTCTCATGATTAACAAACAAGAGGGGTCAATTGAACGCTCCTTAAAGGCTACTCTGAATCTACAATTTAGTGATGGTATGTGATCTTTCAGTCAAAGGGCTTCTCATGATTGTGACAGTGCGGTGACCTTCACTTCAGGCCCTTGTGTGTGTTATTCTTCACATATGACTTTTTTTCTCTCGTTCTTTAGGGATTGTGCTGTGTCTGCACAACACTCTCTTTCAAAAGACACACTCATAACAGCCATTTATCAGTTTTAGTCTAGAGACACTATTTTCCAAGCATGATATTTGTGGCTTTCTCTCAAGCTCCAAAGCGTAACATTACTCAGAATTGTCTGCTCATAAATAGGCAGGGTTCAAAAGATATAGATTTTTTTTTAATAGAACATGGCTCGACGTGGTTTCAGACTGCTGTCAAGTGTTTGTCTTGAGAGCAAGTGACATCGAGTCTCTTTTTGTTATCCTCAAATGGCCTTACTCTCCTTGTCGCTATTTTGAATAAACAGTAACAAATAGATGAGAGTGCTTCATTTTTGGAGGCAAGGAGGGGGACAGAGGGAAGGATAAGGATATGTAGGAGTGTGTTTGTATGCACTTAGGGAGGTTCAGGGAGGAATATCATTTGGAAAATGGTTTCCTGAAGGAGCAGTTTAGAATTTGTTTTGGTGTAAATTGAGCCAGAAGTTTGAAAATAAAAAGAGACTTCATAAATGCTTGCTCTCTGTATAACCACCTTGTTAAATAAATGCAGCTTTTGGACCAATTCTATTTTTCTAATTCCATTGCACACTCGGGAAAGCAGACGGCATTTTGCATTATACAGAATCTGGTGTTTGGTTATTTGGAGAAGAGGGTTGATTTACCCACTAGGTCACAGTAAATGACTACAGATGCTAAGAATATGTTGATGGTGTCAGCAGTAAAATCTTTGCCACACAGGTTGTGAAAAATTGCAAGAGGGCAGGAAATAATTTATTTTGCTAACAGTCTATTTCCCATCTGCAATTTGTACCTGTTGAAGCTGAAAGTGCTCTCCCTGTTTTGAGGCTGTCTTTGCTTCCCCTCCTTGCTCTCTGTCTCCTTTATTTGACAGACGTGCAACTCTTAAAGCCTTAAGTTCAGATGAGTGTTATTAACAGCAACCTTTACAGTCCACTGGGGATTAATTTAATTTTTTTGGTCTGTGGTTTTACAATCGTTTCAAGATGCTGGAATGTAGATAGAGTTGTTGTTAAAAAAAAAATGTTTAGACAGGTTGATTCATTTAGCTACCCAGCAGGATCTGAGCACTTCTTCTAAAGTTAAATTCCAAAGAAGAAAATTGATTACACACCCTCATCCACAAACACAAGCACCACCCACAACACACAACTACATACAATCAGTGTGACAGTGATTTACAGATCAGGCAAGATGTGTTTTCTTAGGTATGAATAGATTGGGTATTATTGGTAATATTTAATAAAATATTTTAAAGCACTTTTACTTCGGTTTATTTTTCCTTTGTATGAGACATTAAATAGATGTTTATATGATCATATTCTTATAGAATCTTCATTTTTCAATAATTGAACCCACCAGATTCTAGTAGAAATTAAGAGGTTTACTTTATATGTTGAGGGTGGGTGGTTGTATTTTATTTTACTATTTTACTTGTTTGATTGTAGCTGACACAGTTGAAAAAAACTCTTTTGTCCTGTTTTTTTTTTTCCCCAAGCTGTTTGGGAACCATATTTAAATGCTGAATACGTAGGTAGAGCTGTAAATTATATATGTTGTAGACGTGTTAATAACAAGTTATTCTTCTCTTATGGCCTTTCCAAGAACTCATTCTGAAAGAGACGCAGCAGGAAGTATGTCTTGCTCTTTCTGGAGCAGACAGAGAGTGACCGATACCCAGAATAAGATGAAAATGTTTAATTTTTATACTTAACCTCAATTTGAAATGCAGATGAAAGTTGCACTTGTATTTGTGGCTTGAAGGATAGCAGGGCCTGATAACAAATCATAAAAAAAGATAGAAGCCCCAATGGCAAAATTTATGCTGAAAATTTCATCACTTGTCACATATCAGTTGTAAAAATGAAGAAGAAACATCTCAAATTTGTGCAATCTCAAACTCCAAACTAGCTAGCTAAAACTAGATAAAATTTTGATGTGTTGTTAGGTCATTCAAAGAGCAGATGCACAAATCTGGGCTCCTCTCTTTTTTAAAGCACAAGGTAGAAAAGTTGAGTACCCTGTACATGTTCTTTTTAAGTTTATATCTATAGATCTACAGATATCTATATCTGTATCTATAGATATATCTACAGATATCTATATCTGTATCTATAGATATATCTACAGATAGCTACATCTGTATCTATAGATATATCTACAGATATCTATATAGATATATCTACAGATATCTATATAGATATATCTACAGATATCTATATAGATATATCTACAGATATCTATATCTATAGATATATCTGTGGATATCTATATCTATAGATATATCTGTGGATATCTATATCTATAGATATATCTGTGGATATCTATATCTATAGATATATCTGTGGATATCTATATCTATAGATATATCTGTGGATATCTATATCTAGATATATATCTATATGTAGATATAGATATCTGTAGATATATCTATAGATATATCTATATAAATCTATATATAGATATATATAGATATATCTATATAAATCTGTATATAGATATATCTATATAAATCTGTATATAGATATATCTATATAAATCTGTATATAGATATATCTATAGAAATCTGTATATAGATATATCTATAGAAATCTGTATATAGATATATCTATAGAAATCTGTATATAGATATATCTATAGAAATCTGTATATAGATATATCTATAGAAATCTGTATATAGATATATCTATAGAAATCTGTATATAGATATATCTATAGAAATCTGTATATAGATATATCTATAGAAATCTGTATATAGATATATCTATAGAAATCTGTATATAGATATATCTATAGAAATCTGTATATAGATATATCTATAGAAATCTGTATATAGATATATCTATAGAAATCTATATAAATCTCTATATAGATATTTTATAGATATATCTATATATCTATATATCTATATCTATAGATATCTATATCTGTATATCTATATATCTCTATATCTGTATATCTGTATATATCTGTATATCTCTAGATCTATCTATATATATATATATATGTCTGTATCTATAGATATAGATTTTTTTTTTGACAGAGTCTCACTCTGTTCCCCAGGCTGGAGTGCAGTGGCACGATCTTGGCTCACTGCAAGGTCTGCCTCCCGAGTTCATGCCATTCTCCTGTCTCAGCCTCCGGAGTAGCTGGGACTACAGGCACCCTCCACCACGTCCGGCTAACTTTTTGTATGTTTAGTAGAGACAGGGTTTCACTGCGTTAGCCAGGATGGTCTCGATCTCCTGACCTCGTGATCCACCTGCCTCGGCCTCCCAAAGTGCTGGGATTACAGGTGTGAGCCACTGCGCCTGGCCAATATATTTAAGGGATAGAAAATGCGCTTTGTTACATGCATATATTGCCTGGTGGTGAAGCCTTGGCTTTAATGTAGGTTTTCCCTAATACTCAGTGTCTCATCTGGCTGTATGAGGACTCAAGCTTTGTACAGAAAGACGGGGGTCAAAAAGAGCTCTGAGGTTATTGAATTAGTGCATTTGGTGGTGTGGAAGTTAGAGGGCAAGTGGCCTCAAGATTTCTCACGGTCACCTAACAGCTTTAATGCTTTGCAAGATGAACTCAATTTAGAGCAGCTAAACTCAAGTCAAATAATAAAAAGTAGGAGACCTTTATACTATGTATTCTATTTCAATACCTTCAGGCTACTTTTTTCTTCCAACCTCCAAATAATACTCTGCACTTTTGCCTGCCATACACAAACACACAAAAATAAAATGAGACAGACCCTGACTTCTATTTCTGTTTGAGATCTTATCAGGTTTGCTAGCTCATTATCTATTACCTTCCTTCCCTAAAATATTAGCTGATATTAGTTAGGGTGACCCATTTCTTATGGTGGCTGCATTATACAAGATTGTACGTCAGGTAAACAAATGATATGCAGTGAGGAAGATATTCTGGGCTAAGTGTGCTTTCAAATACTATCATACAAATAATGACTTTTTCTATTTGATAAAAGGCAACAGTTACACAATCAGCAATTAATAGAGATACAAAAGATGCTAGGTAAATAAAACGACTTTTTACTTCATTAAATGTAGGCTTGTATTAAAGTCCTTTTTTGGGTCATATTTAGCACTTAAACTGAACGATAAAGGAAGAACTGAATAATTAGAAGTAAATTGAAAATATTTTAAATGCTAATTTTTATGGCTATGACATAAATTGAGAAGCAGTGGAGTCTTATAATAAGAACAAGAACACTGAAATTAGATGACCTGAGCTTTTATATTAGTTCTGCCCTATATTTATTGGGTGACCTTGAGCAAAGCACCTAGCCTCTCTGAACATTTTCTTTTTGATTATAAGATAGCTATCAAAAGATCCCAGAGAGATGGGTCAAGTCTGTCTAAACATAGAAGGTGGGATTGAATGTTAGGTATCATTACTAACAAGTAATTTCTAATCTTTTTTAGAAATATTACTTGCATATAGGGCCAGGCATGGTGGCTCACGCCTGTAATCTCAGCACTTTGGGAGGCCTAGGTGGGTGGACTACCTGAGGTCAGGAGTTCAAGACCAGCCTGGCCAACATGGTGAAATCCCATCTCTACTAAAAATACAAAAAATTAGCTGGGCATGGTGGCAGGCACCTGTATTCCGAGCTACTCGAGAGGCTGAGGCAGTAGAATCGCTAGAACCTGGGAGGAGGCGGAGGTTGCGGTGAGCAGAGATCGCGCCATTGCACTCCAGCCTGGGCAACAAGAGTGAAACTCTGTCTTAAAAAAAAAAAAAAAAAAAAGAAAAGAAAAAAGAAATAATACTTGTGTATTAATTAAAAACCTATTAACTATGACATGTAGTAGAAAAAAGAGAACAGGGTGTGGCAAAGCAGACTTCTAAAAGATTGGGATGATTACGCACATAGCTTGAATTTATTGATTTAATGCTAATTATTTTTAGCTTGAGTGAATTTGTCAGACATATAATATTACATGAATATATCTTCGCTAGTTGGATTGGTTTATTTTTCCATGTACTTTTCAAGGCAGTATTAAACTACTGATAGCTATCATATGGGATATTAGAGAATATTAGTTACTTTACTTTAAAGTATTATTTTGGGCAATGCTTTTAGAGAAAAGTATAGTAATAAATGCATTTTTAGATTTGTATTTTTTTAATCCATTATAAGAGATTGAAAGGAAAATAAAAGAAGTATCAGCAACCCTAATGAAGTCAGTTTAATACTATAATGGAGAGAACAGTAGACTGTCATTTCACTCAGGAAGAGTTAGAGTGGTATGAAATCCCCATTTGTTGAAAACAGAAGAACCACTCATTTATATGGCTGGTACCCAGAACATCCCTGACCAACATGCCTAGAACCTAGTGATTGAAATTTATTGCTAGAAAAGTAAATTTTTAATAAAACTTTGTAAATCCCTGGACTTCTTGGCAGCATACGTAGCCTATGAGAAATAAGAAGAAATATAAGTAAACTATTTCTGCAACTACTTATAAAAGGACGTTTTAGGGAAGCCCATGAAAGGCTATAATTCATCATGAGACACCAAGTAGGGGCACCCAGGGAGTTGCTCTGGTGACCTCTGAGGTACATGTTGTTCTTACCTTTCTGCAGAGAGACTCCCAGTTATGTGCAATGACATGTGGCTGGATTCCCGTAGAAGGAGGTGAAGGGAACATGCCTTATGCTCACAGAGTATTAGAAATTCAAGGCCCTTTAACATTATGTGGTTTAAACTTCTTGCTTGTGGTGGATGAAGTAAGTGGAATAAAGTAGCTTGTCTGAATTCCACAAATACTGATTGCCCCAAGGAAACAGGATGCGAGTAATTAATATATATTGAATATCTCTTATTTTCCAGATTATGCATTCTATATCATAAATCTACCTTTGGATATTATATCTATTTTAAAGATGAGAAAATTGAGATTCAATAAGGATAAGAAACTTTTATAAAATTCACTTGCTTGTTATTTGCAGTATTTAACCCCATAATGATCTTACCTTTTCACTGGTCACATTCTCTCCTCAGAACTATAACTAATAATAACAAAAATCTTTCACCTTGCTCTTGGAACAGTGGTTTCTTTTTCTTTTGTGTTATGATTTGCCACTTCCAAAAGTGTTGAACATGTTTAGACAAGGTGTAATAAATAATCCAAGAAGGGAGACAGGAAGAAAATATATTTTATGCAGATGAAGCAAAATCAGTGCCAAGATGAAGAAAGTGGTAAGTGGATAAACGTGGCAAAACAGCGTGAGAGAAGGAAAGTACATTCAGTACTTTTGGAGCTATATAAAGGTCTGAAAGCCTAGAATATGAAGCTGTACCTTTATCAGAAGATGGAAGAAACTAGGCTACATGAAATCCTAAGATGCAAGAAATGGATAAGTTAAACATGACTACAAATGTTAGAATTAATGGTAGTTAATGTCTTTCAGCTGAGGACTCCAGAAGAAAGTAAACTGACATGCCTATTCAGGAACTAAGCTGTTTTCTTGTGGGGTGGGGGGAGGCATACACCTAAGCCATAAGTGACACCTGGTTAGTCTCATTAAACTCACTAATTAGCCGGTTGTGGTGACTCACGCCTGTAATCCCAGCGTTTTGGGAGGCCGAGATGGGCAGATCACGAGGTCAGGAGTTTGAGACCAGCCTGGCCAACATGGTGAAACCCCGTCCCTACTAAAAATACAGAAAAAAAAATTAGCCAGGCGTGGTGGCAGGCACCTGTAATCCCAGCTATTCGGGAGGCTGAGGCAGGAAAATCGCTTGAACCTGGGAGGCGGAGGTTGTAGTGAGCTGAGACTGCACCACTCTACTCCAGCCTGGGCAACAGAGCGAGACTGTCTCAAAAAATAAAAAATAAAAATGAAAAACAAAAACCCACTAATCAATTAAGTCCAGGTGGGACTGAAGGAACAAACAAACAAAAATCTATTTTCAAACCATGTTCCAAATGAAACTTCCATAAAATGGGAAGAAAATAATGTGCTGAAGTAATTTCATACACCATCACATGCTAAATTTTTGCTCTTAGGAAAGAAACTTAGTAGACTTTGTTTAGTTCAAATTTTCCGAGGACTTGACCTATGGAATACTTTTTTGGTGACATGTATATCAATGTATGGTGATACCAATTGGTTTATCAAGGTTTATCATGTGATGTGATATTTACAAAGAAAAAAGGAAAGAAATGTATATAAAATATATATAACTTTATATATAAAATGTATATAACTTTACAACTTTAAAATAGAAGATTAATCATAAGATTTTCAGAAGTTCCATTACTTCCTTACAATCTTAGTAAGTGCAACAAGCACTAAATTGGTCAGTTTGTCTTGGCTTACATTTAGTTTTCAAGGGGCAGCTTGTTTTGATTAAAATATTTGTGTATCATTTACTTATTGCTTAAGCTTTCGAAGTTCGTATTCTATTATTATAGTTGTTTTGCATTTTAGCCCCAAATCCTGAAACATAGATCAATGGATTAAAATGTTTTATAAAAGCATAAAAGCGATAACAACTGTCAGGTAATACATCATTTAAGAATAATCATGTGAATATAGAATATAAATCTGCATAGTTTTAGAAAAATAATAAAGTATAATAGGTTAACATAAGCAGCCAAAATAGAAAACTTTAGGTAAGAAATACAATGGATTATTCAGACGAATATGTGAAAATTAAATTTTATAGGATATGCAGTCTATTTATTTTGAAAACTGTATCAAATAAAGACTAAAAGCTGTATTTGTTACGATGCTATTTTCTGATTACTCGCAAATCAAATCAATTGAAATTTTTCTAGAGTAAGAATAAGAATAAAGTTTTGATTTTTTTTTTTTTTTCCGAGATGGAGTCTCGCACTGTCACCCAGGCTGGAGTGCAGTGGCACGATCTGGGCTCACTGAAAGCTCTGCCTCCAGGGTTCACGCCATTCTCCTGCCTCAGCCTCCTGAGTAGCTGGGACTACAGACACCCACCACCAGGCCCAGCTCACTTTTTTTTTTTTTATGTATTTTTAGTAGAGACAGGGTTTCACTGTGTTAGCCAGGATGGTCTCTATCTCCTGACCTCGTGATCTGCCTGCCTAGGCCTCCCAAAGTGGTGGGATTGCAGGCATAAGCCACCGCACCCGGCAAAATTTTGCTTTTCATAAAAAGTTATTGAATCTTGCTAAACTAAAAACCACAAAAATTACTGTGGAATTTTTTGAGATTTTATTCTTAAAATGTGTTAGTCTTGATATTGCCAAAAGATTATAAACTAGTATAATGAATGCTAAAAAAAAATTAAAACATTATTTGTAAGTTATGATTTTAAAATCAAACAACACTGTTGGATGTTGCCTAATACCAAAGATAGTTGATTTGGAAAAGCAATTATGTTCATGTGCTTACTAAATATTAAGCACTTTCATTTGGACAAAAAAAGTGATGTGCCTAACATGAATGCATTTTTGATAAATATGCAGAGTATACGAGAGGTAAGTACTCAATGACTTTGTTTCAGTTATCACTAAATCTAATGCCACAGAAGAGATTTTTAAAAAGTATTAATCATTATATTTGAGTGGTGCTAAATATAAAGGTGTTTTAAGATTGGTATGGCAGAGTGTGAGCCATTTGTACGGGAAAAAATAGTGTTACTGGCCGGGCACGGTGGCTCATGCCTGTAATCCCAGCACTTTGGGAGGCCGAGGCGGGCGGATCCCGAGGTTAGGAGATGGAGACCATCCTGGCTAACGTGGTGAAACCCCGTCTCTACTAAAAATACAAAAAAAAAAAAAAAAAAAAAATTAGCCGGATGTGGTGGTGGGCACCTGTAGTCTCAGCTACTCGGGAGGCTGAGGCAGGAGAATGTCGTGAGCCCTTGAGGTGGAGGTTGCAGTGAGCTGAGATCGTGCCACTGCATTCCAGCCTGGGTGACACAGCAAGACTCTATCTCAAAAAAAAAAAAAAAAAAAAAATTAGTGTTACTGGCAAAATGAAGTACTGAGTATTATGAATATGATGAAATTACTGTCAGTGTTAATACTTCTTTTCTGGGTGTTTTAAGAAGAAATAGACAAAAACTTATAAGACAGGTTTTTCACTGAGGTGCTCTGGCTGTTAATGGGAAACAGAGTAATTTTCAGAGCATAACATCTTTGCTTCAAAAATTACTGTTTTTGAAGTGAAGATGATACAAAATATTTCTTCTTGGTACTTAGGATACTTAGTATGTTAACTTTAGTGGCTTATTCAAATGATAAATCTTAGTGATATGTTTGAATCTTGAAAAGGCTAAATTTACTGCTTAAAAATAGAAATATCATGACTTTATTTATTTATTTTTGATTAAAGTATAACAGGATTTAAAGTAAGGCTAAATTATGGAGCAAATGGCTCCAACCATGAGTCTGACTCTTACCCAATACTTGATGATTTTATTCACTCATCAGAAAAAAAGCATTGATAATATATAATGGTTATATCTACATTGATATCTAAGTGTTACTACAAAAATACCTTTCAGGGCCGCATTCAATGTAGCAAATGAAAAATCTATTTGCTACAGTCTTCCAAATTAAAATATTTTAAAGTGGTGTGGTTGCCAACGTATATTCTAAAGGAGCATTGAAAATATTATTATTTTTTAAATTTTTTTTGTAGAGACAGGGATCTTGCTCTGTCACCTCGACTGAAGTGCAGTGGCATGAAACTGTATTTTCAAATTGCTGGGCTCAAGTAATCCTCTCGAGTCAGCATCCTAAGTAGCTAGGACTACAGACATCATGTGCAGCTAATTTTAAAATTTTTTGTAGAGAAAAGGTCTCCCTGTTTTCCAGGCTGATCTCAAACTCTTTGCCTAAGCAATCCTCCGACCTTAGCCTCCCAAAGTGCTGGGATTATGGGCATGAGGCATTGTGCCCTGCTCTGAAAATTGTTTTTGATGTGAAATTTCTTCATAATTTCTTATCACTGTTTAACTTTCTAGCCAGAACGATCTAAATTTGTTACCATTATGGTTGATCTTTAAGACAGAAAATAAATCAACACAGATGTGTACCTAACCCATAGCTAATTTTTACTATATACCACTGGCATTATACAGAGACCTCAGTAAAATGTTAGAAGTATTATTATCCCCATCATTGATATAAAATTAATGAAAATACTGATTTTAATGTTTTATTTTTATAACTTAAAATATGGCAGTTTTTACCTGAAATTAGTGATACTGATTTACATTGAATAAGAAGTGTTTTGTAGATAAAATGTTTGAGAAACATTGATATAGAGGAATATTTTGAAAACTGCTAGATGATAAACTCAAGGGTTTAGAGGTATGGAACAGAAAAACCATCAACAAGAGAAATTCTATGACTTCATAAATAAATAATAAATTTATTTAATATTTATTTATTTATTTTAAGATGGAGTTTCACTATGTTGCCCAGACTGGTCTTGAACTCTTGGGCTCAAAAGATCCTCTGACCTTGGCCTCCAGGTGACTTGGGTGCTGTTAAAAGCATTCAGTTTTTATATATTCACAAAGATGTTTGGAATTGGAACTTATGTTTAAAAGGGAGCTTAAATTTAGCTGAGACTACATGCTGTACTCACCATCCTTGGCTCCAGAAATCCCATGGATTCTATTGCCAGAATTAAAACAAGAGAGGGGAGAGTCAGATGCTCAGGTTATTATATAAAAACAGCTCTGTTCCTGAGAACAGATGTGACAGAAAAATATTGGAAGAAACACTAGTAGGATTTGGGAAATAAGGAAGAACGGAGGGAACAACACGCTTAGATGCAGATTCTCAATTCATTTGATTAATAATGATGATGTTTTCTGGAGATAGGTAACAAGTTGAGATGGAACTGAGTTAAGTGTCTGATATGGCTTCATGTCCCCACCCAAATGTCACTTTAAATTGTAATAATCCCCATGTGTCATGGGAGGGATCCAGTGGGAGGTAATTGAATCATGGGGGCAGGTTTTTCTTGTGCTGTTCTCATGGTAGTGAATAAGTCTCATGAGATCTGATGGTTTTATAAAGGGGAGTTCCCCTGCACATTCCCTCTTGCCTGCTGCCATGTAAGACAGGCCTTTGCTCTTCCTTTGCCTTCTGTCATGATTGTGAAGCCTCCCCAGCCATGTGGAACTGTGAATCCATTAAACCTCTTTCCTTTATAAATTACCCAGTCTTGACTATGTCTTTATTAGCAGCATGAGAATGGAAAAATACAGAGTGTGAGGTAAGATTAGAGCCTAAGTCAGTTCAAATTATAACTGGTGCTCTGAAACCATGGTGACTGCCACTGGCTGAATAATACAATGGACACAAAGGCTATTTTTTGAGGAAATATCATGAGCTGGATTTTGCTTGTGTAAAATCAAAGCCCTGTGAATTATCTTCCTGGGACATTAATTATGCAGTTGGATATGAGGATTTGGTGCTCACAGGAGCTGTGTGGGCTGGGTGTATCAAATTAGGTGGCAATTGCGTTACATGGAAACCCTGGAATCAATGAGTTTACTTAAGAAAAAAGTGGAGAGTGCAAAGAGAAGAGAGTCTAGAAAAACATACTTAGGAATCTAAATATTTAAAACCCAGAGGAGAAGCAATTAAAGACCAAGAAAGAACCACTAGTAAGGTAAAAGGAGAACCAGCTGAGTATGAAGTCACAGAATTCAAAGGAGAAGAATGTATGAGGAAGATAGTCAACTATGTGGAAATCAGCTGAGAAGTCAAGAAAAAGAGGAAAAATTCCACATAAGCTTTAATGCGTAGATGTATTGTTCAGGTTCGTAAGTCACTGGAGTCCTTATAACAAAGCACTGAATATGGGTCCTAAAAAATGAAGTATATGTAATTAATGGAAATTTAGACTCTGGATTCTAGCAAAAGTTGTCCATGGAATCTGGACAGAGGTAAGTTTAAATGAATTTGGATTGTTACATGCACCTTCTAAGGTCCTCCATTTAAGAGTGACTGGGGAAGTGAAGATCAGCAGAATCTTCGTATTTGTAGAATATCCAACATTTATATTCTGGGTCTGTAAGTACAAAGTTCAAATATGGTTTATTAACCCTTGGTTCCTATTCCTCTTATTTCCTTTTACACACCAGTATCTTCCTAAAGGTCACTTTTCTCTCACAGCGAAAGGGGTGTGTGTGTGTGTGTGTGTGTGTGTGTTTGGGCGGACAGAACTCAGGGGATCCTGGGATAATCTTAGTTTTGGAATATGGAATTAGGAAAAAAAACTCTCTCGAGGTTATTCTGTGAGGCAGTGTAATGATTTAACTGAATTTAAAAGCAGATTTTGAATCATTGTCACAAATGAATGTTTATGATTTGATAAGGAAAGTATTTAATTTTATCCTAACATTATAAACAATCCTTTGAAGCTCTGATTTCATGAAATTATTTATTTTTAGAAAAAAATTGCAGAAGTCTATTTCTATGAAAATTTTATATGGAAAAGAGCTTAGTCAAAAAAAACCCCTTCACTTTTGACCATTTTACTAGATATGTAAATAAGCACTTATTCTATATTATATTTTGCAAAATAAAATTAATACTACAAAAGGAAGAAATGGTTGGGGAAAAAACATTGTAATTTTAGAAAACTTTTTTCTTAAAAAGTCGTGCGGCCGGGCGCAATGGCTCACACCTGTAATCCCACCACTTTGGGAGGCCAAGGCAGGCAGATCACATGAGGCCAGGAGTTTGAGACCAGCCTGGCCAACATGGTGAAACCCTGTCTCTACTAAAAATACAAAAATTAACCAGGTATGGTGGCATGTGCCTGTAGCCCCAGCTACTCGGGAGGCTGAGACAGAGAATTGCTTGAACCCAAGAGGCGGAGGTTGCAGTGAGCCAAGATTGCGCCACTGCACTGCAGCCTGGGCGACAGAGCGAGACTCCGTCTGAAGCGAATAAACAAAAAAACAAAGTTATTGATCCTTCACTAGCTCTTTTTGAAGTATAAAGTTTACACCATAGAAGTATCATCTAGGTATTAGGAGTACAAACTAGAGAATTGTTTATTTTGTCTTGATTCATAATTACAATACATAATTACAAATAATACATAGTAAGTAGCAAAATTTATAGAGTTTGCCAGGGATTTTTATTATCATTTAAAAAAAATAACTTTATTGCATATATTTAAGGTATTGCATATATTTAAGGTAAGCATGTTTAAGGTATTAAATATCTTTAAGGTTGCATATGTTTAAGGTAAAATATGTTTATTGCATATATTTAAGGTACTGTATATGTTTAAGTTAAGCATGATATAATGAGATACATATATCTAGTAAAATGATAACTATAGTGAAACAAATGAACATGTCCACTATCTCTATACCAAAACTGATAAGAGTTTTTATCAAAAAAATGATATTGACTTTGTCAAATGCTTTTTCTGCATCATTTGAGATGATCATGTGGATTTTGGCTTTCAGTCTGTGAAATTTATTTATCAAATTGATTTTGTGTATGTTAAGCCAGGCTTGCATGGCAGAGATAAATCCCAGTTGATTATGATGTGCAATATTTTTGATGTGTTGTTGAATTTGATTTGCTAATATTTTGTTGATGATTTTTGCATCAATGTTCATCAGAGACATTGGACCATAGTCTTTTGTGTTAGGTGATTCTGGCCTCATGAAATGTGTTAGGAAGCATTCCCTCCAGCTCTATTTTTAGAAGACTTTAAGACATAATAGTATTAATTCTTCTTTAAGAATTTGATAGAATTCAGCTTCAAGCGGTCTGGTCCTGGGTTTTTCTTTTCTGGGAGGTTTTAAATTATTCAGGCTCTTTGTTGTTAGTCTGTTCAGGCTTTCTATTTTTCTTTCTTTCTTTTTTTTTTTTTGAGACGGAGTCTCGCTCTGTCGCCCAGGCTGGAGTGCAGTCGTGCGATCTCTGCTCACTGCAAGCTCCGCCTTCCGGGTTCACGCCATTCTCCTGCCTCAGCCTCCTGAGTAGCTGGGACTACAGGCGCCCGCCACCACGCCTGGCTAAGTGTTTGTATTTTTAGTAGAGACGGGGTTTCACTGTGTTAGCCAAGATGTTCTCGATCTCCTGACCTCGGGATCCACCCACCTCGGCCTCCCAAAGTGCTGGGATTACAGGCGTGAGCTGCTGTGCCCGGCCCAGGCTTTCTATTTTTCTGATTCAACCTCGTTAGGTTATATTTTTCTCTAAACTTAACATTCCCTTTAAATTACCAAATTTGTTGCTATATTGTTTTTCTTTTTTTCCATACAGAAAGTAACATTTTTTAATTTTTTACTTTAAGTTGCAGGGTAAATGTGCAAGATGTGCAGGTTTCTTACACGTGTAAACGTGTGGTATGGTGACTTGCTGCACCTATCAACCCATCATGTAGATATTAAACCCAGCATGGATTAGCTAGTCTTTCTGATGCTCTCCCTCCTCTTCCCCGCTAAAAGTCCTCAGTGTGTTTTTCCTCTTCCTGTGTCTATGTGTTCACATTATTCAGCTCCCATTTATAAGTAAGAACATGCAGCATTTGGTTCTCTGTTCCTGCGTTAGTTTGCTGATGTGAACAGCATCCAGGTCCATCCATGTCCCTGCAAAGGACATGATTTCATTCCTTTTTATGGCTGCATAGTATTCCATGGTATATGCATACCACATTTTCTTTATCCAGTCTATCATTCATGGACATTTGGGGCGATTCTATGTCTATGCTATTGAGAATAGTGCTGCTGTGAACATACCCATGCATGTATCCTTATAATAGAATGATTTATATTCTTTGGGTATATATCCATTAATGGAATTGCTGAGTCAAATGGTATTTCTGGTTCTAAGTCTTGGAGAAATTGCTACGTTGTCTTCCACAATGGTTGAACTGATTTACATTTCCATCAATAGGAGTGTAAAAGCATTTCTATTCCTCTGCAACCTCACAAGCATCTGTTGTTTCTTGACTTTTTAATAATCACCATTCTGACTGGTGTGAGATAGTATCTCATTGAGGTTTTGATCTGCGTTTCTCTAATAATCAGTGATGTTAAGGTTTTTTTGGTATGTCTGTTGGCTGCATGAGTCTTATTTTGAGAAGTGCCTGTTTATGTCCTTTGTCCACTTTTTAATTTTTTTTCTTGTAAATTTAAGTTTTTTAGATTCTGGATATTACACCTTTGTCAGATGGATAGATTACAAAATTTTTCTCCCATTCTGTTTGTTCTGATGATAGTTGTTCACGCTGATGACTTTATTTTGCAGTGCAGAAGCTCTTTAGTTTAATTAGATCCCATTTGTCAATGTTTGCTTTTGTTGCAATTGCTGTTGACATTATCAACAAAGATTTCAGCATGAAATCTTTGCCCATGCCTATGTTCTGAATGGTATTGCCTAGATTTTCTTCTAGGGTTTTATAGTTTTGGGTTTGACATTTAAGTCTTTAATCCATCTTGAGTTATTTTTTATATACAGTATAAGGAAGGGGTGTACTTTCAATTTTCTTCATATGGCTAGCCAGTCCTCCTACCACCATTTATTAAATAGGAATCTTTTCTCCATTGCTTGTTTTTGTCAGGTTTGTTGATCAGATGATTGTAGATGTGTGCTCTTATATCTGAATTTTCTATTGTGTTCCATTGGCCTGTGTTTTTGTAGCAATACTATGCTGTTTTAGTTACTGTAGCCTTGTAGTATAGTTTGAAGTTGGGTAGCACGATGCCTCCAGCTTTATTCCTTTTGCTAAGGATTGCCTTGGCTATACAGGCTCTTTTGTGATTCCATATGAATTTTAAAATAGCTTTTTCTAATTCTGTGAAGAACATCAATGGTAGTTTAATGAGAATAGCATTGATTCTATAAATAACTTTGGGCAGTGTGGCCATTTTCATGACATTGATTCTTTCTATCCATGAGCATGGAATGTTTTTCCATTTGTTTGTGTCATCTGATTTTTCTGAGCAGTGGTTTGTAGTTCTCCTTGAAGAGGTCCTTCACTTCCCTTGTTGGCTGTATTTCTGCGTATCTTATTCTCTTTGTAGCAGTTGTGAATGGAAGTTCATTTATGATTTGGCTCTCTGTCTATTGTAGGTATATAGGAATGCTTGTGATTTTTGCACAGTGATTTTGTATCCTGAGACTTTGCTGAACTTGCTTATCAGCTTAAGAAGCTTTTGGGCTGAGATCATTGGGTTTTCTAAATATACAGTCATGTCATCTACAAACTGAGACAATTTGACTTCCTCTCTTCCTATTTGAATACCTTTATTTCTTTCTCTTGCCTGATTGCCCTGGCAAGAACTTACAATACTGTGTTGAATAGGAGTGGTGAGAGAGGGCATCCCTGTCTTGTGCTGATTTTCAGGGGGAATGCTTCCAGCTTTTGCTCATTCTGTATGATTTTGGCTGTGGGTTTTTCATAAATGGCTCTTATTATTTTGAGACATGATCCTTCAATACCTAGTTTAGGGAGAGTTTTTAACATGAAGGGATGTTGAATTTTATTGAAGGCTGTTTCTGCATCTATTGAGATAATAATGTGGTTTTTGTCTTTAGATCTGTTTATGTGATGAATTACATTTATTGATTCGCATATTGTGAACCAGTCTTGCATCCTGGGGATGAAGCTGACTTGATCGTGGTAGATGAACTTTTTGATGTGCTGCTGAATTCAGTTTGCCAGTATTTTATTGAGGCTTTTTGCATCAATGTTCATCAGGGATATTGGCCTGAAGTTTTCTTTTTTTTATTGTATCTCTGCCAGGTTTTGGTATCAGGATGATGCTGGCCTCATGAAATGAGTTAGGGAGGTGTCCCTCCTTTTCAATTGTTTGGAATAGTTTCAGAAGAAATGGTACCAGCTCCTCTTTGTACCTTTGGTGGAATTCAGCTATAAATCTGCCTGGTCCTGGACTTTTTTTGTTTCATAGCCTATTTATTACTGCCTCAATTTCAGAACCTGTTATTTGTCTATTCAGGGATTTAACTTCTTCCTGATTCAGTCTTGGGAGGGTGTATATGTGTAGGACTCTATCCATTTCTTTTTCTTTCAGATTTTCTAGTTTATTTGCATAGAGGTGCTTATAGTGTTATTTGACAGTTGTTTGTATTTTGGTGGGGTCAGTGGTGATAACCCTTTTATCATTTTTATCGTGTCTATTTGATTCTTCTCCTTTTTTTTCTTTATTAGTCTATCTAGTGGTCTATTTTATTAAC
Source organism: Homo sapiens (assembly GCF_000001405.40). Lineage (NCBI taxonomy): Eukaryota > Metazoa > Chordata > Mammalia > Primates > Hominidae > Homo > Homo sapiens. The sequence continues at coordinate 118,423,752 of NC_000005.10, read as the reverse complement.
TTTTACAAAAAGCCAGCTCCTGGATTTGTTGATTTTGTTTGAAGGGTTTTTGTGTCTGTCTTCTTCAGTTCTACTCTGATCCTGATTATTTCTTGTCTTCTGATACCTTTGGGGTTTGTTTATTCTTGGTTCTTTAGTTCTTTTAGTTGTGATGTTGGGATGTTGATTAGAGATCTTTCTAGCTTTTCGATGTGAGCATTTAGTGCTATAAATTTTTCTCTTAACACTGCTTTAGATGCATCCCAGGGATTCTGATATGTTGTCTCTTTGTTCTCATTAGTTTCAAAGAACTTCTTGATTTCTGCCTTAGTGATTCTCCTGCCTCAGCCTCCTAAGTAGCTGGGACTATAGCCACGCCACCAAGCCTGGCTAATTTTTATATATTTTTTAGTGGAGATGGAGTTTTAACATGTTGGCCAGGCTGGTCTCGAACTTCTGACCTCAAGTGATCCACCTGCCTCAGCCTCCTTAAGTGAGTTGTGTGGTTTTGAGTGAGTTTCTTAATCTTGAGTTTTTTTTTTTTAATGCTTTAAGTTCTAGGGTACATGTGCACAACGTGCAGTTTTGTTACATATGTATACATGTGCCATGTTGGTGTGCTGCACCCATTAACTTGTCATTTACATTAGGTATTTCTCCTAATACTATCCCTCCCCACTCCCCCTACCCCCCAGTAGGCCCTGCTGTGTGATGTTCCCCACCCTGTGTCCAAGCATTCTCATTGTTCAATTCCCACCTATGAGTGAGAACATTAGGTGTTTGGTTTTCAGTCCTTGTGATAGTTTGCTCAGAATGGTTTCCAGCTTCATCCATGTCCCTACAAAGGACATGAACTCGTCGTTTTTTATGACTGCATAGTATTCCATGGTGTATATGTGCCACATTTTCTTAATCCAGTCTATCATTGATGGACATTTGGGTTGGTTCCAAGTCTTTGCTATTGTGAATCGTGCCGCAATAAATATACGTGTGCATGTGTCTTTATAGTAGCATGATTTATAATCCTTTGGGTATATACCCAGTAATGGGATGGCTGGGTCAAATGGTATTTCTAGTTCTAGATCTTTGAGGAATCACCACACTGTCTTCCACAATGGTTGAACCAGTTTATAGTCCCACCAACAGTGTAAAAGTGTTCCTATTTCTTCACATCCTCTCCAGCACCTGTTGTTTCCTGACTTTTTAATGATCGCCATTCTAACTGGTGTAAGATGGTATCTCACTGTGGTTTTGATTTGCATTTCTCTGATGGCCAGTGATGATGAGCATTTTTTCATGTGTCTGTTGGCTGCATAAATGTCTTTTGAGAAGTGTCTGTTCATATCCTTTGCCCACTTCATGATGGGGTTGTTTGATTTTTTTCTTGCAAATCTGTTTAAGTTCTTTGTAGATTAATTTAATTGTGCTGTTGTCTGAGAGACTGTTATGATTTCAGTTCATTTGCATTTGCTGAGTGTTTTACTTCCAATTATGTAATTGATTTTAGAGTAAGTGCCATGTGGTGTTGAGAATAATGTATATTCTGTTGTTTTAATGTGGAGAGTTTTGTAAATATCTATCAGGTCCACTTGATCCAGAGCTGAGTTCAAGTCCTGATTATCTTTGTTAATTCTCTGACCTGATGATCTAACATTGACAATGGGGTGTTAAAGTCTTGCACTAGTATTGTGTGGACATCTAAGTCTCTTTGTAGGTCTCTAAAAACTAGTTTTTAGGATTCTGGGTGCTCCTGTATTGGGTCCATATATATTTAGGACAGTTAGCTCTTCTTGTTGAATTGAACCCTTTACCATTATGTAATGCCATTCTTTGCCTTTTTTGCTCATTGTTGGTTTAAAGTCTGTTTTGTCGGGAACTAGGGTTGTAAACCCTACTTTTTTCAGTTTTCCATTTGCTTAGTAAATTTTCCTCCGTCCCTTTATTTTGAGCCTATGTGTGTTTTTGCCCATGAGATGGGTTTCTTGAATACAGCACACTGATGGGTCTTGACTCTTTATCCATCTTGCCATTCTGTGCCTTTTAATTCGGGCATTCAGCCTATTTATATTTAAGGTTAATATTGTTATGTGTGAATTTGATCTCATCATCATGATGCTAGCTGGTTATTTTGCAGACTTGTTAATGTAGTTGCCTCATAGTGTCCTTAGTCTGTGTACTTCAGTGTGTTTTTGCAGTCACTAGTAACGGTTTTCCTTTCCATATTTAGTGCTTCCTTCAGGAGTTCTTGCAAGGCAGGCCTGGTGATTATGAATTCCCTCAGCATTTGCCTATCTAAAATGGATTTTATTTCCCCTTCACTTATGAAGCTTAGTTTGGCTGGATATGAAAATCTGGGTTGGAAATTCTTTTCTTTAAAGATGCTGAATAATAGCCCCAATCTCTTCTGGCTGTAGAGTTTCTGCTGAGAGGTCTGCTGTTAGTGTGATAGGCTTTGCTTTGTAGGTGACCTGGCCTTTCTCTCTAGATGCCTTTAACATTTTTTTCTTCATTTCAACCTTGGAGAATCAGATAATTGTGTCTTGGAGTTGATCTTCTCATGCAGTATTTTACTGGGGTTCTCTGGATTTCCTGCATTTGATTGTGGGCCTTTGTTGCTAGATTGGGAAAGTTCTCCTGGATGATGTCCTGAAGTATGTTTTCCAGTTTCATTCTGTTCTCCCCATCTCTTTCAGGTACCCCAATCAGTCATAGGTTCAGTCTTTTTACATAATCCTGTAGTTCTCAGAGATTTTGTTTGTTCCTTTTTATTTTATATTACTTTAATCTTGTCTGTCTGTCTTATTTCAGCAAGATAGTCTTCAAGCTCTGTGATTCTTTCTCCCCCTTGGTGCGTTCAGCTTGTGATAATTACAGTTGCATTGTGAAGTTCTTGTGTTGTGTTGTTCAGCTCCATCAGCTTATTTATGTTCCTCTTTCAACTGATTATTCTGGATAACAGCTCCTGTGGTATTTTATCATGGTTATTAGCTTATTTGCATTGGGTTAGAATATGCTGCTTTAGCTCAGTGAAGTTTATTACCCACCTTCTGAAGCCTACTTCTGTCAGTTCGTTCATCTCAGCCTTTGCCCAGTTCTGTCCCCTTGCTGGAGAGGTGTTGTGATCATCTGGAGGAGAGGAGGCATTCTGGCTTTTTTTTATTGTTGTTGATTCTTTCTCACCTTTGTTACTTTATCTACCTTTGATCTTTGAGGCTGCTGATCTTTCAAATGGGGTTTTTGTGTTTTTATGTTGTTGTTGTTGATGATGCTGTTATTGTTGGTTTCTGTTTGTTTTTCTTTTAGCAGCCAGGCCCCTCATCTGTAGGGCTGCTCAGGTTTGCTGGGAATCCACTCCAGACCCTATTCTCCTGGGTTCCTCTTGCACCTGGAGGTGTCACCAGTGGAGGCTACAGAGCAGAAAAGAAGGCTGCCTGCTCCTTCCGCTGGGAGTTCTGTCCCAAAGGGGCATGAACCTGATGCTGGCAGGAATACTTCTGTATAAGGTGTCTGATGACCCCTGTTGGGGGATCTTACCCAGTCAGGGGGCATGAGATCAGGGGCCTGCTTAATGAAGCACTATGGCTACCCTTGGTTGGAGGGTGTGCACTGCTTTGGGAGGAATCCCCCTCCTCTGTACTGCTCAGTCTCTTCGGAGCCGGCAGGCAGGAAAGGCTAAGTCTGCTGTTCCACTGAGATTGTGGCCACCCCTCCCACAAGGGGCTCCATCTCAGGGAGTTCACAATTCTGTCCTTAAACTCCTGGTTGATGTTGATGAAATTCCCAAAGGGAGATCCCATTCGTGAGGAGGAATGGATCTGGGTCCCACTTAAAGAAACAGTCTGGCTACGATCTGCCATAGTTGCTGTTCTGCACTGTGGGGAAATCCTCCCAGTCCTAACTGCCCAGTCTCCCTGGTATCAGCAGGGGAAAATGGCAGGCTGAAGCCACAATGATAGTTGTTGCCCCTCCTTCTGGAACTCGGTCATCTTAGGCAGAGTCCAGCATGCTGCCTCTGGCTGCAACCTGGCGTGGCTGCTGAGCCTCTGCATATCTCTGTGTTTGGGACCCAAGGCCCTGATGGTGTGGGCTCACAAGGGGATCTCCTGATCTATGGGTTGCACAGATCTGTGAAAGAAAGCATGGTTTTCTGAGTGGGGTGGCACAACTACTCACCATCTCCCTTGACTGGTGGTGGAAGCTCCCCTTGAGCCATGTGGCTCCTGGGTGGGCCATTGTTCCACCCTGCTTTTCCTCGCTCTCTGTGGGTAGCACCAACTGCCTAGTCAGTCCCAAAGAGAGAACCTGGATACCTCAGGGGAAGGTGCAGGATTCACTCGCTGTTTTCATTCTTCTCAGTTGTAGCCTCCAACTGCAGCTGCTTCTAGTCGACCATCTTGGCCCCTCTCCTATATTGTTTTTCATAATAGTTCCTTATGATCCTTTTTATTTTGAGGGGCCTATTGTAACATTTTCACATTCATTTTTGATTTTATATATTGGAGTCTTTTCTTTTTTTCTTAGTCTAGGTAAAGGTCTTAAAATATTGTTTATTTAAAAAAATTCTTAGTTTTGTTGATTTGTTTCTGTGGTCTTTCTGTTCTCTATTTGATTTATTTCTGTTCTGATCTTTATTATTTCTTTCTGCTAACTTTAGGTTTAGTTTGTTCTCCTTTTCCTAGTTCCTTGAGGTGTATGCCTGGGTTGTTTTATTGTTTTACCCAAGGTTTATGCAATTTTATTTTTGATGTGGTGGTGATGATGCTGCTTCACATGATCTGTTTATCTATTTTTACCCCCAAAATTTGAATGCACTAAGTAAGTATTAGGATTGCAAAGCATAAATCAATTCTGGTTAAATAACAGATAACTCTGTAGCATAAATATGTTCAAACATAACTGGTTCCCCGTATTTATTTTTGAGAATTCTGACAACTGTACCCTAAACTTAGAGGTGTTTAAATGCTGAGGAGACTAAAATGACAAATGTTTAGTAAAATTGGTTAAACGTCAAGATTTAAGCTAAATCAGTTTATAAAACCAGTATTATAATACAGTTTACCCTTGAATAACGTGGGTTTGAACTGCATAGGTCCACTTATACACGGATCTTCATCCTCCTCTGTCACCCGCAAGACAGCAAGACCAATCCCTCTTCTGCTTCCTCCTTTTCAGCCTACTCCACATGAAGACAATGCGGATGAAGACCTTTATGATGTTCCACTTCCACTTAATGCATACTAAATATATTTTCTCTTCTTCATGATTTCCTTAATAACATTTTCTTTTTCCTAGCTTACTTTATTGTAATAATACAGTATATAATACATACAACATACAAAATGTCAATCAACTGCTTATGTTATTGATAGAGCTTCTGTTCAACAGGAGGCTATTTAGTAGTTAAGTTTTTGATGAATGAAAAGTTATATGTGGATTTTTGACTATACAGGGTGAGGTGAAGGAGCTGTCCGTTCCCCTAACCCCTATGTTGTTCATGGGTTAACTATATAGATGTACAGTTGTCCCTTGTTGTCCATGGGGGATGGGATTTGTTTTAGGACACCCCGCAAATACCAAAATCCATGCATTCTCAAATCCTGCAATCGGCCCCATGGAACCCATGTATATTAAAGTCTGCCCTCCAGATAAGAGGATTTCACATCCTGCAAATATTCTATTTTTAATTGGTGTTTGGTTGAAAAACTCCATGTAGAAGTGAACCTGTGCCGTTTAAGCATGTGTTGCTCAGGGGTCAATTGTGTATAAAGGTCTGTAGGAGAACATCTGAGAAAGCAAATTTATTTATTTAGACTAGAAGTTGGATGGAGATTTTTGCAAAGCTGCAGAGTGAGTGGGAATTTTGAGCTGGGCTTCAAATGAATAGGAGTTTGCCAACTAAGGAAAAAAAGGAGGAACTTCACCCAGAAAGAGTGACGTGGACCAAGAAATAGTCACAAAATTACTGTCATGAGTTTGATGTGGTTTGCACAATGGGTTTAGGTGTGTGAGAAGTGATGAAAGATGAGTCTGCAGAAGGAGCATGGGGCAAGGTTGAGAAGTGTTTCATGTAGTAGAAGAAACAGGGATCCTTTGGGTACTTTTGAATCATAGTTGGGCTGTGAAACCTTGCTTTAGCTGCAAAACTACTAAGCATGAACTTGATCTTGGTTTTGTATGATGTTAAGTATCTTGAGTCCTCAAGAGAAAAAGAATTACTTTAAGTCACTCAGTTTTTAAAAGTATGCTTGTTCGGTGGGAAGTCTATCAGTGTCTGGTTTGTGGGGGACTCTGAAATTGTGGCGTCAAACCAATTAGACCCGTTAAAAATATGAGACAGGAAAGGAACCTTTGAGGTAACAAGTGAGTCAAAGTGCATTAGATTTGTTTCAAGTTAATTAGGTTGTGAATGAATAAGTATAATGACTTTTTGAGACTTTCCTTTCAACAGCTAATCTATCCACTTTTCCTAGGCTTTAGAAAAGATCAACCCTTGAAATTAAGTCAGTTTTTACTCAAGATGAAAGTATGTTGTGGTGGAATGCACAGTAACTGTTTTATTACTTTGGGATTTTTTGTTTTAATTCAGGGAAAAGACTCCCTCTGTCAAAGTTCACAAGGAGTGAATATTTGTCTGTTATTTTTTTAAGGGAAATAAGTAGATAATTTTTGAACAGCTATGCATGCCAAGACAAATTCACTTGTCCCCCAGTTGGCTTGCAGTCTGAAAACTTAAATCAGATAGGAATGTAATCTCAAAACCTTTTTCCATGGCTTAAAATAATTTTTAGCACATTAGTTTTTGCTCTATTCAATTGTTATTTCATTAGTTTTAGACGTATCTCAGGCACTTTGAGTGACATCAAGCCTGAAGACTTTTTGATAAATGAAATTAAGCACTTACTTAATTTTACTTTTTTTTTGGCCTGTAATACATATCGGAGTTTTTTTCTAATTTCTGAGTATATATGCTATTAAAAAAAGTCAGAAAAAAACAGTAGTGTAAGATTTTAAGTGGCTTTTAAAAAGAGAAACTACTTGATTACTTATAAATTATGTTACTTATTTTTAAATCTGCTTCTGCCTCCCACATTAATATATGATAATGGGGATTTGGTGCACAGAAATACCGAATAGGCCCTGTTCATATTTATGCATTAAGAGATTTACACCATTGTGTTATAGGAGATGTACACACACATACATATGTATATATATTTATACACATTTGCACATATACAATGCAAATGTGCATTTTGAGAAATGATATTTTATAAGGAGCCAATAATAGTACTTGAACATAAATAATGTAGAAATAGGCAAGCTGAGACTAACTTTGGGAAAGAGTAGAAAGTGTGCATTGAGATAAAGAAGGACTAACAGAGGTAAAAACAAAACAAAACAAAAAAAAACTGAACATAGCAGAAAGAAATGTTAAGAGAAATATTTGCTCTAACCTGACTGGGCTGGGTGTCTAAAAACGAGGACCATCTTTCAAAGAATAACCAGAAAAATGAGCAGAAATAGAGAACCATTTTGAGGGTGTTAAGGGGATGCTACATAGGCATTTTTTTTGGCTTGACACAAGCAATTTTAGCCATTCTATGGCCAGAAAGACCTGTGTTTTCTTAGTTCTAGAACCTCACTGACTACAGAGTAGTGTTCTGGAGATGACAAAAGGAGCTAGCTTCCTATTAGTTAAAGCTATATTCATTCCAATGAAGTTCCATAATTTATCCGTGGAGAACATGAATGCCTTTTAATATACTAATGCCTATATACTTTATATGCTTTGATACTATGATATTGTAAGATGATTTTTTCTTTTTAATTAAGTTTTCATGTAGTGTGCTGCTCTTATATAGAAATGCAAATGACTTTCCTATACCCAGCCACCTTGTCAATAGATCTACAAATTGAGTTTTTCAATCCAATTGATTTTATCATTTGCAGATAAGGAGGACTTTATTTTCCCATTTCTAATTTTTCTTTTTCCAGTCTTTATTGTGCAAGTGAGGGTCTCTAGCTCGGTATTGAATAGAAATGGTAATAGGCTTTTTTTTTTTTTTTTTTTTGAGACGGAGTTTTGCTCCTGTTGCCCAGGCTGGAGTGGTGTAATGACGCGATCTTGGCTCACTGCAACCTCCGCCTCCCAGGTTCAAGCAATTCTCCTGCCTTAGCCTCCCAAGTAGCTGGGATTACAGACATGCACCACCACGCCTGGCTAATTTTGTATTTTTAGTAGAGACGGGGTTTCTCCATGTTGAGGCTGGTGTCGAACTCCTGACCTCAGGTGATCTGCCTGCCTCAGCCTCCCAAAGTGCTGGGATTACAGGTGTAAGCCACTGCGCCTGGCCCGTAATAGGGATTCTTGTAACATTCCTGACTTTACCAAGAATGTGGCTGCATTTTCCCCTTTAAGGTGGAATTTTCTTTAGTTTTTTAAAAATGGTTACTGCTTCTCAGGTTAAATGAATTTACCAAGTTTTTTTATTTCAATATTTTTATTTTTTCAAGTTTTATTGAGATATACTTGGCAAATAAAAATTGTACATATTCAAGGTGTATAACATGATGATTTGAAATCTGTATACATTGGGTAATGATTACCATAATCGATTTAATCAACACATCCATCACCATACATAGTTACACTTTGTGTGTGGCCAGGGGTGAGGACACTTAAGATCTTCTTTCAGCAAATTTCAAGTAAACAGAACAGTATTATTCACAATAGCCTCCATGCTGTACATTAGAGTCCCCAAACTTATTTATCTTATAACTGAAAATTTGTAATCTTTGGCCACCATCTCCTCATTTGCCCAACCTCCCAGCCTCTGGCAACCACCTCTCTAGTCTCTTCTTCTAGGAGTTAGCCTTTTTTAGATTTCATATATAAGTGAGATCATACAGTTTTTGTTTTCCTATGTCTGACATTTTGCTTAGCATGATGTCCTTCAGGTTCATCCCTCTTATCTCATATGCAAGATTCCTTCTCTTTTATGGCTGAATAATATTTTATGTACATATACCATATTTTCTGTATCCATTCATCCGTTGACAGACACTTAGTTTGTTTCCCTGTCTCGACTGCTGCGAATAATGCTGCAGTGAACAAGAGGGTAAAGACACCACTTTGACAATGATTTTATTTCCTTTGGATATATACCCTGCAAGGGACTTCTGGGTCACATGGTAGTTCCATTTTCAAGTTTTTGAGGAACTCCATACTGTTTTCCATGATGGCTGTACTAGTTTACAATCCCTTGTACACTAACAGTATACAAGGGTTCCCTTTTCTTCAGACCCTCACCAATACTTGTTATCACTTGTTGTTTTGAGTAACAGTCATCCTAACAACGTGCTGTGCCATCTCATTGTGGTTTTGATTTGCGTTTCCCTGATGACTACTAATGTTGAGTTTCTTTTCATATATCTGTTTGCTATTTGCATATCTTTAAAAAAAAGTCTATTCAGGGTTGTTTGCCCATTTTTTAATTGAGTTGTTTTTTTGCTATTGAGTTGCATGAGTTCATTATATACTTTGGATATTAACCCCTTATCAGATATAGGCTTTGCAAATATTTTCTCCCATTCTATGGTTGTCTTTTCATTTTGCAGATTGTTCCCTTTGCTGTGCAAAAACTAAGTTTGATGTATTTCCAGTTGTCCATTTGTGCTTTTTTGTCTGTGCTTTTGATGTCATACCAAAAAATGATTGCCAAGGCCAATGTCAAGGACATTTTAAGCTATGTTTTCTACTAGGAGTTTTATGATTTCGGGTCTTACATTTAAGTCTTCATCTTGAGTTAATTTTTGTATATAGTGTAATCTAAAGGTCCACTAAGAAATGTTTCAAAATCACAAATGAGAGTGAATTTTATTAAATCCTTTTTATGTATTCATTGAGATTATAATATGTTTTTTCTCTTTTAATATGTTGAAATAAAATATAGATTTTTCTAATACTAACTTATCCTTACATACTTGAAATATACAGTTGCATTTGATTTGCTATTAATTTTAGATTTTTGCATCTATTGCCATGAGTGCAGTGAGCCTGTAATTTTTTTAATGTATTTTTTTGATATTGGTATCAGGGTTATATTGGCTTCATAGAATGAGTTTGGAATAATATATTTTGTTTATATTTTATAAAACTGGTGTACTTTGTGTTCTTTAAATATTTGTTGTAAATTTCTTATAAAATCATCTGGGCCTGTTTACATTGTAGAAATAATCTTCAAATACATTTTAAAATAGTTATTGGACCATTTACACTTTTTATTTCTTTATTGAGTCAGCATTTTAAGTTATATTTTTCTAAAATTAGTCCATTTTATCTAACTGTTATGAATTCTTGACGTATAATTCTTGATAGGATCTTTTCTTTCTGATATATACTTAATATCTTTCTGTAGTTATTAGTAATACTTCTTATTCTCTTGATCAATTTTGCTAAAGTCTTCTTTACTCTTTTTTTTTAACCCATTTTGGTCTTTGCTAATCTAGTATATTTTCTAATATGTCCTTGCTTATTTTTATTTTCTACTGTTTTATTTTGTCTTTGTTACTTTTTAAGATGATATCATACGGGGGTTTTCACAATTATCTGTATTTTGGTTCTCCAGTTCTTCCAGCATTGACCTAAGCCAAAGGATTCAATAATATTACTAAGTTTACACTGAATTACATGAACTTACATTAATAACTAAATTATTTTGAAGCTGTCTTCTTCTAACAAGTGTTTATAACTATTAACACTACAACTATTGCTTTTGCCTCATCCCACTAATTATTATCAAAGGGGTTTTTTATTATCAGTTAAAAACATTTTAAAATTATTATGATTTAAAAAATTCCTGAGTTATTTAGCATTGCATTTTTAAATTTCCAGTTATGTATATGCCTGAGAAAAATATGTATCTTCTATTAATAGTTTCATTAGACCAAACTTGCTTATTGGGGTTTTTGGGTTTTATATAGCTATGTTTTTTTAATGCTCTGCCTATCAATAATTGAGAGAGATGTGTTGAAGCCTTTCACTATGATAGTGAGTCTGTCAAATTGTTGCTGAAATTTTCTCAACTTTTGTATTTTGAGGCTATTAGATACTAACATACATATGTGTTTTAAATTGTTCCATCATTTTGGCAAATTGAGGTCTTCATCAGTATGTAATGACTCTCTTCATTCTTAAAAAATACATTTTCTCTAAGAGTCTATTTTATGTGTTATTATAATATAACCATACCATTTGTCTTTTGTTTTTGTTTTTGTTTGGTTTGTTTTTTAGATGGAGGCTCATTCTGTTGCTCAGGCTGGAGTACAGTGGTGTGATCTTGGCTCACTGCCTCCCAGGTTCAAGCAATTCTCTGCCTCAGCCTCCCGAGTAGCTGGGATTACAGGTGCCCACCACCATGCCTGGCTAATTTTTGTATTTTTAGTAGAGATGGGGTTTCACCAAATTGGCCAGGCTGGTCTTGAACTCCTGACCTCATGATCTACCCACGTCGGCCTCCCAAAGTGCTGGGATTACAGATGTGAGCCACCTGTGCCAGGCCAACCATACCAATTTTATTTTGGTATTTTGCTGATACACCATTTGCTCCCAACATTTAACGTCATTATGTTTTTAATGTGTTACTTATAAGTAGTATGTCTCAGTCATCTTAATTTTCTAGTTTATTACATATATTTTAATTACTGATTTACTTGGATCAACTTTTTTTTTTACCAACTTTACCAATTGACTTTGTTCCATTTTATGTTTCTTCTAAATTCTTGATTACTTTATGATTCGAGTTGATATTTATACCTCTCTCCTAATAAGACAAAACCTCAGCACTTTCTCCATCGATGAGCTTCCCCCTCCTAAACCCAGGCAAAAGCCACCTGCTCTCCCATGCCTTCCACATACATACATAAACACTAGTTCAAAATAGCTCATCATTATTCTGAGGGTTTAAATTTTCTGCATTTTCATTTTTGAGGTACTTCAGGATTGATCTCGGCGAAAAGATTCAACAGTTTTACTAGATTTATATCTTATCAGGACTGAAGCCCTATTTTTAGAGTCAATATTTCTTCTACAACTGTTGTCAACCGCAGTTTGTGTACTTTGGTGTGGCTAGTTCTCTGAGATTACTTATGTCACAGTTAAGCAGATTTGGAAATATAATCAGGATGTTTTGCTTTACATGCGGCCCTTTTGATGGAAGGTAGAGGTGGTCTAATTTTTCTTTTTTTGGGGGGTGACAGATTAAAGTTTAATGTTAGCTTTTTTTTAAAGTTTAAAATTTGATCCTTTTGGTGAAGTTCATAATTTTTTAAAAAATGATGTTTATTTCAAATGTTGAAGGGACAGAGATTGACTATTTCTAAATTGGCCAGTCTGTTCTCACCCCATTTGGAGAAATATTTCCAGCTGCTCAAAACCATTGGTGTACTTCAGATGCACAAATGCTTCTCAGCTTAAAGTTATCCACAAGCACTGTAATACATTGAGTAGATACTGATATGGGCTTTTTCAATCTCATGGCTATATTTAGGTGTTGGCATCCATTACCTCGGATTTTTTACTTTTCATGATCTGGTATTTGATTCTGTGTATCCTTAAGTCTAACTTTGTCTACCCTCTAAGCACTTTTCTCAGAAGTGAACTCACTTTAACACCTTATCTCAGGACTGATATTTTAAATCAGATTATCTATTATGCATATTTTAAGGAAATATTATTGCCATGAAGACGAAGTTACACTAAGGTATTTGGATTGTACAATCTTAAAATTTTTTCAGTCAGAAAATACTGAGAGTGTGATATGTATTAGATTTTGTCAAGGTAATGGAGGAGGTAATAATACATAGTCCAATTATTCCTGTCTCTTTAAATAACATAAACTTAGGGGACAGAGTTTATATCCTAAAACATTAAGAAAATTTATTAATTCACTATGAAAATTTACTACACAAGCATACGAATTTTGAAGTCTAAGATACTCACCTTCTCTTTTAGGTGAGCACTTCAGCATTACCAGCAGATAGTTGGTGTGTATTGATTTAGAAAAGGGACTTTGTCTATATGACAGCTGTAGGCTAATGCATATTGATTGCAATAGGAATTGTCCTTTAATTTGCTGCTTTTTCTTTTTTTGACCAAGCATACAAGAATGGCCATTGTCAACATATACTTTGATCAACCCTCTCAAACAGAGAAACATTTTTCTTTGATATCAAATCATGTGATAACTCAGTCTTATTGGCTTTGGAGCCATTCTGCTTCATTTAGATGAATTTGTATCTGTATTTGTTTTGATCATTTTGACATGAGTTATTATTAAGTGGTAAGATTAGTTCTCAAGAAGGTATTCTTATTCCTGTTTTCCAGGGTTTTTTTTTTTTTTTTTGAGGGAAGGGATAAATCCCCAGTAGAGGTTATAAACTGTATTTTCCTTATTTCAGAAGTGCTAATAATTTTAGCTTAATTCACAATAAAATCTTTCAAGTAGTATTGTAATTTTAATTTACTTTTAATTACCTTGATGTACTAAATTTATTTTTGTCTTTAAATTTTAGATAAGCTGATAGAGTATCCTATGTAGTGAGTTTTGGGTGTGCCAGTCTTCTGATAAAGTATTTGCAATTGGGACAGTTTTACATATGGAACATAATTTACAGTTAATTTCTTTCCATACATTGATTTCAGAAGCTACATATCTAGAATATTTGGTATATCTAGGCTCTTGTTTGTAGGCCAGTTGTAGTCCACCTTGCTATATGAATATCCTGGCTAGTATTAGAATATGGAAATAAAGATTAAGAAAATTCATATTAACTAAGGCTTTGAGAACTGTAGTAAAAATTAATATTAGAAACTTTCATATTTTCAATAATTTTTTTGGTGTTCAATCTTTATTTCAATCTTCTTCACTTCTACAGTGTCATATTTGTGTTCCTTATTTATCACTAAAAAATCCCAGTATTTCAAACATGTAGATAAGAAAAATTTAAAAATATAGAATAAAACACATGTATTAGAACATTGTGACATAAAATTGGGCTGTGACCATCACATAATATTCCTGTTATACAATTTTTAGGTTAAAAAGATATATGAACACCTTTGGTATAGAGCAAATGGTGTTTTATTTTATTCAGCTGAAATCAATGGCTGAACTGTTAAAGAAGAAACTTTGACAGAGCATCAGATTTGGTGGTACTGTCAGAGGCTGTCCTCTGACAGGGTGAAAAACCTGATTTATTAACTGAAATGAGGTCCTAAAGAACACATAATAACAGATACAGTTGAACCCAAACCTGTCAAGATTTGATGGCTAAGCTCACGAAGTTCCAAAGTAACCTGTGGATAAAAGTTTAATTTTTCCCCCAAAATGGACTTACTGTGTACATCTAACTTTTATAGTAGATCAAAAGGAAAATTGATTTTTTTTCTACATGAGTGAAATAGAAAATACAAGTTATGGAATTTCATAGAGTGAAAAATTATATGAGAGGAATGAAATTGAGGTTGGTATTCCTCATTTGCACAGTTTCTAGAAGGACTGTAGGGAGGAGAAAACAAAGCAAAACAAATTAGTAAAACTCCACTCAGAAAAGCCAGAATACTGAAGGGGCAAAACAGTCTCAGCTGCGCTACGAAGTTGCACAGAACTTCTGCATTTGCTGCTGGGCGTTAACTTCACCTTGACTTTCTGAACCTCAATCTTTTCCTGTCTTTTCTGCTGATGCTTTATTGGTAAGCCATGTTGTTAAAATTCAGTTTAAATGTAATCTCTTGGTCAAAATGTCTAAGCAGAACAGCAATTGATGCCATGAAATGCAGTGATGGGCTGGTGGTAAACCTATCTGGAACTGCAGAGCTGTTTTTCAATCCAGACAGTCTGAGGGGGAAGTCAATTTTAAAGTTGCTACCTGCAAGATGAAGAGAAGTGAGGCCTTCAGTAGTGAATATTCTCCCTATTTGCCCTCATTCGTTTTATGTGAAGACATCTGTATTGACACTAAAATGACTCTGGAGAAACATTCTCCATGTGTGTTGTGTGTGTTGTATGTGTGAAATGGTAGATTGATAAAAACAAAATCAAGAAAAAGAGAGCTTAAATGTTTATCTTTTGATAAATACCTGCTTGTTTTGGGAAAGAATATAATATACGTCCTGTTCAAAAGCTGGCGAGATTGAGGTTTTATAATTTGGGTTTACGAAAAAAGATTTGTGTGTGGAAGCTTTGGACTGTGAAAAGAATCTACAGCATTCTTCGATCAAAATAGCTCCTTAGTCACTCTGAACCTTAGTTTTTTTTTTTTACTTCGGCTATTTGATTTCCCAATTTAGGCCTCCTTGAACAGCTAGTGCATTGTAATGCATGGCTACTGTCTATAGGCCCATCTTTTGTGGAATGTCTTCCATTAATCAGGGGGATGTCCCCACCTCCCCCATACACACACACACACACAGAGTTCTCTCTACATCTTCCAGTTTAGAGACTTTAAGCTCAATTGCCAGATGGAGAAGCTAGCCAAACAATCCAAAACATCCTAACTCCACTTGCTGTGGGAATTTAGGGGACAGAATACCCAAGGGAAACATCTGGTAGCAAAGATGAACACCATCTGTTCTGGATGTTTCCAATTTTAGGAGGTGCAGAGATTGGAAGAAGCTGATAAGAACTGTAAGGAAAAGCCTCACAAGCTAGTGAATATATTGGAATAAAATAGGGGTATCTAAAAATTCTGGTTTTTGAGATGGAAATAACAGTAATAAAGGAAATAAAGAAGCAGGATCTGTGAGATGATGGAGCCAATGGGTATGAATGAAGAAAGAAGGAAAAAAAGGAAGACACTTGGCTGTCCAAAGGCTTAGCAGAAGCAGAGGGTAGGGCTTGGGTTTGTGGAAGACATGGGCACACAGAGAGGGCGAGGCAAGTTCATTCCCAAGTTGGAAGCCTCCAAACACTCCCCTTGGAACTGGTAGAATGATGAAAATGTGCCTTGCGATAGCCTTAGAGTGTGACTTCTGTGCCACTGTTGTTTCACTGGGGGAGTGTGGATATTGCAGGCTGACAGCTGCCATGTAACCAGGACTAGGGAGATGCTGAGTTTAAGGGGACGTAATTCTAGGATGTGAAGTAGTTATGAAACTCTGTAGTAGCATGGTCCTTTTATTCTTATATATGATGAGACTGTTGGGCCTACGGTGAAATCTAATGAGCAGATTTGGTAGGTTTTGTTCAGACACAGCATTTTAACTTTGACTATAAATTACTCCCATTTGTTACACAAAATCAGTGTACAGAATTCAGTAACATTTCTATATCCCCAAAATGTTTAAGCAGAGAGTCAAATCAAGAACACCGTCTCATTTACGAGTGCCACAATAAAATGAAGTACCTAGGAATACAGCTAACCAAGGAGATGAAAGATCTCTACAAGGAGAGGTATAAAACACTGCTGAAAAAAATCAAATGACACAAATAAATGAAAAAACATTTCATGCTCATGGATTGGAAGAATCAATATTGCTAAAGTGGCCATAGTGCCCAAAGCAATCTATAGATTCAACACTAGTCCTATCAAACTACCAATGTCATTTTTCACAGAATTAGAAAAAAATATAAAATTAACACATGACATAGTTTGGATGTCCTCTCTAAATCTCATGCTGAATTATAATCCTCAGCATTGGGAGGTGACTGGGTTAGGGGGCCAGATTTTTCATGAATGGCTTAGTGCCATCCCCATGGTGCTGTCCTTGCAATAGTGAGTAAATTCTCATGAGATCTGGCTATTTAAAAGTGTGTGGTATCTTCCCCCTGTTCCTCTTGTTCCTGCCTCACCGTGTAAAGTATCTGCTCTCACTTTGTTTTCTGTCATGCTCCCTGAGGCCTCCTCAGAAGCTGAACACATGCTAGCACCATGCATATACAGCTTGCAGAACTGTGAGCCAATTAAACCTTTTTTTCTTTATAAATTACTCAGTCTCAGGTATTCCTAAGACTTCTTATAACTTGTGTTGTAGCAACACAAGAATGGCCTAACACAATATGGGACCACAAAAGAGCCCAAATAGGCAAAGCAATCCTAATCAAAAAGAACAAAGCTAGAGGCATCATACTACTGGACTTCAAACTATTATGTGACAGTAATCAAAACAGTTTGGTACTGGTACAAAAGCAGACACGTAGACCAGTGGAGCCCAATAGAAAACTCAGAAGTAAAGCCACACACTACAAATATGTGATCTTCAACAAAGTTAACAGAAGCAAACAACGGAGAAAGGGCTTTCTATTCAATAAATAGTGCTGGGACAATTATCTAGCTATATGAAGAATGAAACTAGACCCCTACCTTTTACCATATACAAAAGTTAACTTACGATGGGTTAAAGATTTAAATCTAAGAACTCAAACTACAGGGGAGGGGCCAAGATGGCCAACTAGAAACAGCTACAGTCAGTAGCTCTTACTGAGAAGAACAAAAACAGTGAGTGAATCCTGTACTGGCAATTGAGGTATGCAGGTTCTCTCACTGGGACTGACGAGGTGGTTGGCACAACCCACAGAGATTAAGGAAAACCAGAGTGGAGTGATGGCCCCCTCAGGAGCCCCATGGGGTAAAGGGGAGCTCCCACTCCCAGCCAAGGGAGGCAGTGAGTGACTGTGGTACCATGCTGGGAAACCATGCTTTTTCCATGGATCTGGGCAACCTGTGGATCAGGAGATACCCCTTGTGAGCCCATGCCACCAGGGCCTTTGATTCTCAAGCACAGAGCTATGCAGAATCTCTGTGGCTGCTGGGCTGGAGACTGCCTAAGACTACCGAGTTCCTGCGGGGAGGAGTGGCCATTATCACTGGGGCTGCCTGCTGCCTAAGATGACTGAGCTCCCTGTAGAGAGGTGTGGCTACCATCACTGCAGCTGCCTGCAGCGTCAGATGACTGAGCTCCCAGGGAGAGGGGTGGCTGCCATCACTGCAGCTGCTTGCTGTCTAAGATGACTGAGCTCCCTGGGAGAGTGGAGGCGACCATCACTGTGGCAGCCTGCTGCCTAAGCTGACTGAACTCTGGGGGAGAGGAGCGGCAGCCATCACTGCAACTCCAGTCTGCTGTCTTCCCCTGCTGGTGCTGGGGAAGCTGGGCAGTTTAGATCCAGGAGGAATTCTCCACAGTGCAGCACAGCAGCTGTAGCAGATTGTGGCAAGACTATCTTCTTTAGGCTGAACTTGGGCAGTGGCTCACGCCTGTAATCCTGGCACTTTAAGAGGCCGAGGGGGACAGATCACTTGAGGTCAGAGTTTGACACCAGCCTGACCAACATGGTGAATCCTAGTCTCTACTAAATATACAAAAATTAGGTGAGCGTGGTGGCTCTCACCTGTAATCTTAGCCACTTGGGAGGCTGAGGCAGGAGAATTGATTGAACCTGGGGAGCAGGGGTTGGGTTGAGCCAAGATCAGGCTACTATACTCCAGGCTGGGTGACAGAGCAGGACTCCGCCTCAGAAAGAAAATAACTTGGACCCATCCTTCCTCACCTGATGGGGGCCTCCTTGCGGGAATTTCAGCAACTCTAACCAGGGGTTTATAGACAGAACTCTGATCTCTCTGGGATGAAGCCCCTGGGGCAAGAGACAGCGCAGTCTCTGTGCATCAGCAGACTTAGGCTTTCCTGCCTGCTGGCTCTGAAGAGGCTGGACAGTCTGGACAAGGGACAGCCAGAGTGCTTCATTAAAAATGGGTCCCTCATCCTGTGCCTCCTGACAGGGTGAGACCCCCACCCCCCCCCACCGAGGAGGGCTTGCCAGACACCTTATACAGAAGCATTCCTACCAACATCAGCTCGGTGCCCCTCTGGGACAGAGCTCCCAGAGGAAGGAGCAGGCAGCCATCTTTGCTGTTCTGCAGCCTCCATGAGTGACAACTCCACATGTGGGAGAAACCCAGTGGAATAGGGCCTGGAGTGAACCTTCAGCAAACTGTAGCAGCCCTAGGGAAGAGGGGCCTAACTGTTAAAAGGAAAACAGAAAGCAACAACAACAACATCAACAAAAAAGTCCCCACAAAAACCCCATCCATAGGTCAACAGCCTCAAAGATGGAAGGTAGATAAAGTCATGAAGATGAGAAAGCATCCACAAAAAAAACCAGAGTGCCTCTTCTCCTGCAAATGATCATAACACCTTTCCAGCAAGGGCAAAGAACTGGGCTGATGGTGAGATGGATAAACTGAAAGAAGTGGGTTTCGGAAGGTGGGTAATAACAAACTTCACTGAACTAATGGAGCATGTTCTAATCCAATGTAAAGAAACTAAGAACCATGATAAGACACTACAGGGTGTGTTAACCAGAATAACCAGTTTAGAGAAGAACATAAATGACTTGATGGAGCTAAAAATCACAACACTAGAACTTCAAAATGCAACCATAAGTATCAATAGCCAAACAGACCAAGTGGAGGAAAGAATTTCGAGCTGGAAGACTATCTTACTGAAATAAGACAGGCAGACAAGATTAGAGAAAAGAGAATGAAAAGGCATGAACAGATCCCCCGAGAACTATGGAATTATGTAAAAAGACCAAACCGAAAACTGATTGGGGTACCTGAAAGAGGGAGAATAGAAACAAGTTAGAAAACACACTTCAGGATATCATCCAGGAGAACTTTCCCAATCTAGCAAGACAGGCCAACATTCAAATTCAGAAAATCCAGAGAACCCTAGTAAAATATTGCATGAGAAGATCAGCTCCAGGACACATAATCATCAAATTCTCCAAGGTCAAAATGAAAGAAAAAGTATTAAGGGCAGCCAGAAAAAAGGCCAGATCACAGACCAATGGAACACAACAGAGCATTCAGATATAAGACCACACGTCTACAACCATCTGATCTTTAACAAACCTTACAAAATCAAGCAATGGAGGAGAAAGGATTCCCTATATGGTAAGTGGTGCTCGTTCTAGATCCCTGAGGAATCGCCACATTGACTTCCAGAATGGTTGAACTAGTTTACAGTCCCACCAACAGTGTAAAAGTGTTCCTATTTCTCCACATCCTCTCCAGCACCTGTTGTTTCCTGACTTTTTTAATGATCGCCATTCTAACTGGTGGCAGATGGTATCTCATTGCGGTTTTGATTTGCATTTCTCTGATGGCCAATGATGAAGAGCATTTTTTCATGTGTCTGTTGGCTGCATAAATGTCTTCTTTTGAGAAGTGTCTGCTTATATCCTTTGCCCAATTTTTGATGGGGTTGTTTGTTTTTTTTCTTGTAAATTTGTTTGAGTTCATTGTAGATTCTGGATATTAGCCCTTTGTCAGATGAGTAGGTTGCGAAAATTTTCTCCCGTTTTGTAGGTTGCCTGTATACCATTTGACCCAGCCATCCCATTACTGGGTATATACCCAAAGGACTATAAATCATGCTGCTATAAAGACACATGCACACGTATGTTTATTGTGGCACTATTCACAATAGCAAAGACTTGGAACCAACACAGATGTCCAACAATGATAGACTGGATTAAGAAAATGTGGCACATATACACGATGGAATACTATGCAGCCATAAAAAACGATGAGTTCATGTCCTTTGTAGGGACATGGATGAAATTGGAAATCATCATTCTCAGTAAACTATCACAAGGACAAAAAACCAAACACCACATGTTCTCACTCATAGGTGGGAATTGAACAATGAGAACACTTGGACACAGGAAGGGGAACATCACACTCTGGGGATTGTTGTGGGGTGGGGGGAGGGGGGAGGGATAGCATTAGGAGATATACCTAATGCTAAATGACTAGTTAATGGGTGCAGCACACCAGCATGGCACATGTATACATATGTAACAAACCTGCACATTGTGTACATGTACCCTAAAGCTTAAAGTATAATAAAAATAATAAAAAATAAGTGGTGCTGGGAGGACTGACTAGCCATATGAAGAAAATTGAAACTGGATGGATTAAGACTTAAATGCAAAACCCAAACCTATAAAAACCCTAGAAGAAAACCTAGGCATTTCCATTTAGGACATAGGCACAGGAAAGTACTTTATGACAAAAAATCAAAAGCAATTGCAACAAAAGCAAAAGTTCACAAATGGGATCTAATTAAACTAAAGAGCTTCTGCAAAGCAAAAGAAACTTTCAGAGTGAACAGACAACTTACAGAATGGGAGACAATTTTTGCAATCTATTCATTTGACAAAGGTCTAATATTCAGAATCTATAAGAAACTTAATTTACAAGAATAAAACAAATCCATTAAAAAGTGGGCAAAGGACATGAACAGGCACTTCTTAAAAAAAGACATTTGCAGCCAACAAACATGAAAAAAGCTCAATATCACTGATCATTAGAGAAATGCAAATCAAAACTGCAATGAGATAACATCTCACATCAGTCATAATGGTGATATTTAAAAAGTCAAGAGATGAGATGCTGGTGAGGGTTTGCAGAAATAACACGGCCTTTATGCTCTTGGTAGGAATGTAAATTAGTTCAACCATTGTGGAAGGCAGTGTGGTGATTCCTCAAAGACCTGGAACCAGAAATACCATTTGACCCAGCAATCTCATTAATGGGTATATACCCAAAGGAATATAAATCATTCTGTTATAACAATACATACATTTGTATGTTCACTGCACACGATTCACAATAGCAAAGACATGGAATCTACCCAAATGCCCATGAATGATAGACTGGATAAAGAAAATGTGGTGCATTTACACATGTATACACGTGTTTGGAATACTATGCAGCCATGAAAAGGAAGAAGTTCATGTTCTTTGCAGGGACATGGATGGAGCTAGGAGCCGTTATCCTCAGCAAACTAACACAGGAACAGAAAACCAAACACTGTGTGTTCTTATAAGTGGGAGCTGAACAATGTGAACACATAGACAGGGGAACAACATACATTGGGGCCTGCTGGGGGTGTTTTGGGTGGGGGAGAGAGAGCATTAGGAATAATAGCTAATGCATGCTGGGCTTAATACCTAGGTGATGGGTTTATAGGTGCAGCAAGCCACCATAGCACACGTTTTCCTATGTAACAAACCTGCACATTCTGCAAATGTGTCCTGGAACTTTAAAATGAAATAAAAAGAACTCAAACTATAAAAATCCTAAAAGAAAACCTAGGGAATACCTGCTTTGACATTGGCCTTGGCAAATAATTTTTGGCTAAGTCCTCAAAAGCAATTCTAACAAGAACAAGTGAGACCTAATTGAACTAAAGATTTTCTACACAGAAAATAAAGCATTCATAGTGTAAACAGACAACCTAGAGAATGGGAGAAAAATTCACAAACTATGCTTCTGGCAAAGGTCTAATATCTAGAATCTATGAGGAATGTAAACAAATTAACCCCATTAAAAATGAGCTTAGTACCTAGGTGAGAGGTTGATAGATGCAGCAAGCCACCATGGCACAGATTTACCTGTGTAACAAATCTGCACATCCTGCACATGTCCCCAATAACTTAAAATGAAAAGAAAAAAATGGGCAAACAACATGAACATTGTCTTCCCAAAAGAAGACATACAAGTGAGCAAACACATGAAAATAATGCTCATCATCACTAATCATCAGAGAAATGCAAATCAAAACCACCAGTCAGAATGGCTATTGAGTCAAAAAATAACAGATGTTGGCAAGGCTGTGGAGAAAAGAGAATGCTCATACACTGTTGGTGGGAATGTAAATTAGTTCAGCCAACCTGGGAGGAAGTCCAGAGATTTCTCAAAGAACTTAAAACAGAGCTACCATTCAAGCCAACAATACCCATGGTGGTATACCCATAAGAAAATAAATCGTTCTATAAAAAAGACAAATGCACTTGAATATTCACAGCAGTGCTATTCACAATAGCAAAGACATGGAATCAACCAAGGTGTCCACAAATGGTGGATTGGATAAAGAAAATGTGGTATATCTACACCATGGAATAACATGCAGCCATGTAAAAGAACAAAATATGTCTTTTGCAGCAACATGGATGCAGCTGGAGTCCTTTATCCTAGACAAATTAATGTAGGAACAGAAAACCAACCACATGTTCTCACTTGTAAGTGGTAGCTAAACATTGAATATAAGGACGTAAAGACAAGAATAGTAGACTCTGGAGACTACTAAAGAAGGAGGAAGGGAGAAGGGTGTGAGTTGAAAAACTACTAGTGCTCACTACCTGGGAAATGGGATCCATACCCCAAACTATAGCATCATGTGATATACCCAGGTAACAAACCTGCACATGTACCCTTGGCATCTAAAATAAAACTTGAAATTTTTCTACAAAGTTACTCCCATTTATTTTTCAAGTCTTTATTATACTTATCTGTTTTTTAATACTGAATTTAGGTAAATTCTTCCATAAAACCTGACTGACATGTCTGTTGAATCAGTTTATTTCCATGAATTCTCAATGATTGCTCTGTAACAACATGTAATCCCAATGTTTGTCCAATTTTTACCTTATCTTCTGTTACACTGAGTGAACCAAGGTAAAATGATGAATTGCTTTAAAAATAAGTAATCAGTTGGAGCTCCTATTGTGAAACAAATCAATTTTTTAAATATAATCTATTTCTTTGAGGGGAAAAAACATATGCTGTGGGGTGATAGGAAGGGGTTTTTCATCTTCTGGTCAGTGGTTTCCCCATACTTCTGCATCATCACCAGTGCCCTGGATGATCGGCCTTTCAACTGCAAGCTCCCCATCACTCCTGTAGGCTGGTGTTTTTGTTTACCATAATTTGAGGGCAGGATGGGTCCTTGAGGACCCATATGCATCTTACCAAACAGCCTGATGGATGCCACGGGCCATCTCCTGCTCCCTATGTCTCCCGCTGTAAGCATTTTAGCAGAATGACTTGCATACCTTTTGAGCTGTGGTTTCTTATACTATTATCTGTCTTCTAGTTTGTAGGATTTTGTGATAATTTTAGGTCCTTTTTGACACTTCTTGATTTGAGGGGCTGTTACAGATTTAACTTATGTATAATTTAGTGTCATTTCTAGGGACTTTGACATGTGGGTGTGGCTCAGTCCATTATTTTACTCTTCTCTTACAGGTAAGATGGGTTGTTTTTCTCTAGGTGGAAATCATCTTTCAATGAAATAGGTTTACATTTCTAATAATGTCCATGTGCTTGCACGTACACAGTTGCTGTTGTTGCCTTTGTTTTGTATATAGTTTGGCATCCTTCTCATTTCTGGCTGGAAGAAGAATTATCTACATTAGCTGCACTCCTCCAAGGAAGAGAAGGTCCAGTAAAGAAATAGAACTGAAAGAGAGAGCAGATAGCCATTTGTCTTCTGAATCACTTGCATTCTATTTATTTCTCCATTTCCTGAATTTCTTTGAAGGCACATGAGGGTGAATTGGCATGTCATCAGGTAAACAGCCACAGAAACATAGATGGCATTTCCATTTTGGGTTAGCAGAAATGCACATTCTACATTAGCAGCCTGGAGTCAAATGGTATGATGTTAGGATTGATAATAGTTTTCACATCAAAAGAGCCCTTTGTATATTGAACCCAGACTATTGCATGAGAGCAGAATTCATCCTACTTAACATCCTATTTAGGCTCTTTCTCTCTCTCTCTTTTTTTTTTGATTCTTACCAAGAGACCCAGTTTGCTCAGAACTAAATATTCTGTGTCTTAGAAAGCATCTCACTGTAGGCACTGGCAATTGGCATTTTAGATTTATCTGGGACTAAGCTACTTTGTTTTCATCCTTTCACTAAATCTATAAAAATGTATTTTCTGTAATATATTTTCTTAATATATTTCAGGTAGCAATACAGAAATAGAGTTATAGAAACACTAGGCTAGATGTATCTGTTGGTTTGAATATTCAAGTTCTTTTTTTGCTACATATCAAATTGTGGGAAGTGAAACAGATAAACAATGAACTTCTTATTCCTATATTTCTGAAAAAATAACACTGTAATTTTGGCAGCAAAATTACTTCAATCTACTACTTTAAAATTTGTTTTTTGAAATCATAGTAGAAAAGCTTTATTTTGACTTTTCTTTTTTTAGTGTTAGAAAATATTTCACAAGGATGGGTATATACCTTTCAGATATGTGATTTTGTATGTGATTTTTTTTTTTTATTGTTTACTACCTTTTAACAGTATTTGAAAACTTATAAGGAAATTTGACCAAACAATTAATATGTGAAAGGAGTTTATACTCAATAACAACATAGAAAATAAATGTAATAATACTGATATAATGGAAAAGAAAATTGGTAATATTTTCACACAAGCAAATATTTATTCGGTGTGTCCCTTTGGGAAGGCCCTGTTGTAAAAGTTAAAAACAGAATACTTGGACAAGGAGTGGGGAACATCACACACTGGGGCCTGTTGTGGGGTCGGGGGAGGGGGGAGGAGGGAGGGATAGCATTAAGAGAATTACCTAATGTAAATGATGAGTTAATGGGTGTAGCACATGTACCCTAGAACTTAAAGTATAATAAAGAGGATGGGGGAATAAAAACCCAGAAGCATAAGAAAATGTACTTGTACCTTAATAACCTAATGCTCTATAGAGAAGAAGTGAAAGATAAACATATGAAAAATAAGATAATATGAGGGTACTAATAACATAAAACAAAGACATTTATCAGAAAGTCAATACTGACTTGATTAAGTTGAGGACAATCTTTACTTCAGCTTCTAGGAAATCTCTTGCTTGTATGTCAGAGTTCTATAGCTGTCTTAAAGGAGTTACACACTACTGACATCTTTCTTGGAGGAAAAAAAATTACCCGAATAAGCATATTAAGAAACACTTCAAACATTTTAAAAACTATACTGAATTTGTATTTGGCTTTTTGATTTATCAGTTTCCCAAAATTTTGTTGTATCTTGATGTCTCACTTTTTAACGCTCTTCTAACCATCCAACCTTTTAAAAATCTCTCTCTCATACTTGTAATAATAACTAATATTTGTTTGGTGCTTACTATAAGCCACACAGTATGTTAGAAACTTTATATACTTAATCTCACTTAATCTTTGTGCATAATCACACAAAAAGGATGGGTGCTGTTGGGAATTTAATCATAGAAGCTTTCTATATGCTGTTTCAAGAGTCTAATGGGTCATCCTGACGATTCCAATCACATTTCAGTTGACTACGCTGCTGTATAACATGTGGATGCTCAGTGTCCACGTGATGATTGACACACTGACTGCTGATGACTCAGACAGTCCACTGCAACTTTCAAATAATCTGTTTCATTTTTAACACTTCATCTGTGTTCATTTTAGCACAAGAAATCTAATAAATCTTACTGACTAGCCTTGGCAGGCCCTGAAAATCAAATTGGAGAGCAAGCCTGAGAGATACCTAGTTTCAAGGTTTTGGGACTATGTAAAAATGATTGAAAGTGATACCTTTCCCCTTTTTCAGTACCTAGTTCCCTCTTGAAACATCTCTAAGTCTCATCTCAGGAGACGTAGCCTCTTATAATTGACTGATTCTTCTATATTAACCCATATGTCCTGACAGCTCAGTTAACAGTCAGTTCAGTCATGAATTTTTGATTGATAATCTGTGAGTTCAATCAGAAAAGTCAAGCTGAGCGTAAAATTGACTTAATTATTATATCACTATATATATATTCACATGATCTTTCATGTGAGCCATGAACCTTTTCATGTGGCTCTTCCTTAAACTTTAACTCTGATCTTAGGACACCTTGTCCATTGTGTACTCAGAAGTAAAAAAATCACCAGATTCCTAAAGTAGATTGAATTCATCATGTGTATATCTTTCTTTTCTTCAGATGTTCAGTGACACAGCAGTGGAGATGGCATAGCCATAATAGCATGCAAGTGCAGATCCTTACTACATATTATCAAAATAGAGTATTTCTTCCAGGCCACGTTTTCCCATTCATCTTGAACTGCTAAACATACAAGACAGCACATGAAGTGTATTTATGCAGCTGGAGTTGTGATTATTGTCATTTTTTCCCTAATGCCTGCTGTGCAATCAGTCTTTTTAGAGAAACTACAATCACCTCCTGCTTTTTTATCAACATATTGCAAAATCTGACTTAAAGTTATTGAAGTAGATATACTGACTCAGTTTAATCACATAGGAATATGGTCTTCCTGATGTAATGAAGATGCTTTCTGAAGTTAAAAACCTGAAAATAAAGATAGAAGCTGTAACATATCTTACAGCTAAAGAGATCGCTTCTTGAAGGCTGGCCAGTGAGAGTTTAATTTCTGTCAAGCCTAACCACACATCATCATGATATGAAATCAAAACAATAAGCACAATTCAGAGACACAGATAATGGAGAGAAAAAGGTTCAGATGTACTTTTGCTTACGTGTTGTGTTATTTTAATAATTTCTAAATTTTTCCAGACAGACATCATGATGGTCAAAGAGTGTGGTTTGGTTTTAAGAACTGTAGTTAGTAGATCTAAGGCAGTTTGAAGACAAATGGAAACTTTAAATTCCCAGCATGAAATTTCTACCACAATCTTAACATTTTCAATATAGACTGAATAATATTAGTAGTAGCTCAACAAGCCACAGAAATAAAATATTACACACATGCACACTCTTCCCACTCCCCATCATCAGAAATGGAGCTTTTGGATGGAGTTGATGCTATTTTTGAACATCTTGTGAAGTTGAGGAGCTTCTTCCCACGAAAACAGAAGATAGCTATTTCATTTAAGTTTAGGAAAATCAATTTTATTAGGCTCTGAATTTCAACAAATTTGGGGTCCACTTGGAATCAAGTAACCACTATTATACTTCAGTGTTATGTAATTGTGCATGTGTAGTCATATTGTTCTAGGATTGTTACTATCTAGAGCACATCATTAATCTAAATTTGTTTCTTGAGAAATGAGAGTAATAACTGCACTTAGCTAGTAGAGTTGAGAGGATTTAAGGAGTTAAACTTAATAAAATATGCAGCAGAGTATAAGTTTGAAATAAATACTAGTGACTGATCTCGTTTCTGTGGTCTCAACCATCAGTTTAGGGAAGCTCTTGCTATAATTTTCAGGCCATTAGGTGACTATTTTATTGAACTCATACCAAAGAGTACATTAAAAGAGATTTCAGAGCTGTTCAGGTGTATTATCTTATTTAATCCAAGATCATATTACTGAGGTCACAGACAATATTAACATGGGGTCTTGAACTTATTTGGTGGGGGTAAAGTACCAAAGAAGCTAAGGTTAAAGATTGAATTTTTCTTTGGATTGGTCACCAATGAAAACATAATTAAAATTTATCAGTAGTGTATTATGTGTCAGCAATTGCCTAAGGAATTTTATTTTTACGCATCATCGCAGGTGAGCCTCAGAACTATCTTGCAATCTGGAGCTCAGAAAGGTGAAGTGAACTTTACCAAGTCAAGCAGATAATGAGCAGGGAAGCCTAAATTACAACCCAGGTCTTAATAATTTTCAAGAGCCTATATTCTTTGTAGTATGGTCTTCTAGCTCTATGACCTCAGACTAAAATTACAAACCATGTGCATTTGAAAATTTTAAAATGCAAGTTATTAGCACAGAGGTGACTATGTAAAAGGATTTGAGTGGATATTTATATTTTTAAATTTAAAATAGATTTAAAGAGCCAATCCTAGATAAGAAAGTATCATCAATTTGTTCTCCAATTCTCTTCTGTTTGTCAGAGAAGAATTCAATGCTGTTGTTGGTAATAGCCTATATTAAAAGTCTCAAAAGAAATTTGGAAGTGACTAAATTATTTAAACAATCAATTTAAATTGTAAAATTTTTACTCAAGTTTTAAAAGAGATTTTGTTCAAGATTGGGGTAATTTCTTCCTATACTACAAATATTCTGGGTTCTTTCATGAAAATTGTATTCCTTTAAATTAGGTATAAGAATGTTTACCTTTAGTACAAATTAGTAAGAAATCCAAAGACAGATACACACACACACCACACACACACACGAACATTTTTTTTTTCTTACATTTGTTCCTCATTTCAAAATTTTAGATCAAGTCTACTCTTTATGAGCTCTCAAATTTTATTGATCAAATAGTTCCCTGTCTTTGGACTCTGTCTTTCATTAGGGATCAGCAACCGTATGGAAAGGTTTCAACCCATTGAAAGAATCATCATGAGGGCTGAAGAGAGATTCAACCCAGATTCAGAGCTTTGTTTCAGTAAAGGGCACCCATCCTGTTCCTTCACTGTGGTTTCACTCTGACATTCTGTCCAGTATTGCATCTAACAAGTGCATATGCAACCTCTCTTTACTTAGGAGATTCCAGGTGAGGTGTGTGAAGTAAATAAAATATTGAGAGCTGATATTGCCTGTCCTGCCATCTGGTCCACCATCTGATTTTTCTTATTCTGCTTTATTTCTTAAGAAAGAGACCTCTCTGAATTTTACCAGAGCCCTGCCTAGTTGGGATACACATAGATGGAGATAATATGTGAGCAATTTTCAAAAGCCAAGAGATGTACCAATAGGGTGCCTGTTATAAGGAAAAGTCTGAAATCTTGAAAGAGATAAGAAATGAAAATTATATTTAAATGAGGTTTGTCAGTTTTGTCTTTGATATTAAACTGATGAGGTAAATTGCTTTCAGAAGTTAAAATAGAGATCTAAAGGTTATAATAATATCAATGCAAAAATAGCCCAGAGAGAGTAAGATGGGGATTTCATTTAAATATGTGAATGATTTGTAGAGATGTAATGGCTCTATTAATATTAATTATGCCATTATCATTCACTGCTCTCCAAATGGAAAATTGCCAATCTATAGCTTACTGGCAGAGATACTAAAATGCAAATAGAAGTTGACAACCTTGCTTCTATGCATACAAGTTGTTCATGATTTCTAGTTTAAAAAATTCTGACCAATCTAATGTTTTTTTTTAAAAAGTCTAGGTTTGCCAGAAAACTCTGGATATGAAGAATTTACCTCTAAGTATTGCTTTCCATTGGTATCTTGTGCTTGGGCTTCAATTAGTTTTTTTTTAAGGTCCCTTATTTTAAATTTTATTTTTTATCGATACGTTATAGTTGTACCCATTTATGTGGTACAAAGGCGAAACCTCCCTTGTCTCAGGTTTTGGTTTATCCCTCACACATCTATGTAAACTCCTTGAGAAAGGACAAAAGAAGAAGGAGCTCCACTAAACCTTAATGGGGGGGTGGTCTCTTTATAGCAAGGAGACAGCAAAAGGGACTAACAAACAGTTTCTGACTAGCTGGGATAGAGGAGGTGGCTCATTTTAAGAGCCATTCCTTAGACCAAAAGTTTTTATTTGGAGATGGGTGAGACAAAGACTTATGTCTGAGAAACTCTCTCATCAGGGAGAAGATTGTCTTTTAACTCTACACATTGGTGTTTGCTTCTTGAAGCAACTGACATTTAATGAGGAAGAAAACATTTTGAAAGTTATATTTACTTTTTAAATTGTGTGACTGTCTTAGTGTTTGGAAGATAATGTTTTTATGTGCAGTTTAAAATGTTTATCAATTTGAGTCCCAAACAGATACATTTCATTAAATTCTCAAGACTGGTTTTCACCCCATTAAGTTCTATTATCAAAATTACCAGGCAATATCTTAAAGCTTAAAAGTTATATCACTGATAATTGCACAGGTCTCTTCCTTCTTTTTGGATGTAAAATGCTGTTTTAAATGAATCATAGTATGTGCTTTGCTGCCAATTTGAATCCCTACATCTGAGAATCGTCCCACGATTACCCGCTTCCTGTCTGTAGGAGGTATCATTCTCATTATGAGCATCAACAGCAATGATTTGGTGCAGAAATAAAAATAGGCACCCCAAGTGAGTCCATGTGACTAAATGTGGAATAAGGGGGTATGGATGTCTTGGGTCCTCAACATATGAAGATAATTAAATCTCCAAACTATAACTTCTTGTCTTCTTTTTATAAGTATGCCTGGACTCCTAAAGTTTAAAGAAAACACACACACAAAAGATTTGAAATATGGGCAGAGGGGTGTGGTGCCATATGGCAGCACAAACAAAATTACCCAAACACTTCAAAAACAAGCAGGGTACATTCCTCCCTCTGTTCAGTAACCATATGTGAGCTCCACACGTGAGAAACTGCCTTCGAGTTGACTCAAGCAGACTCTTTGTCTTTGTGCCTCCAGTGTGTTTCCTTGAAGTGGGGGGAAAAAAAGCCAATGGTTCTTGGAGCGGAGCGGCAATGAGGTCTCTGCAAGATCCGATCCCAATATTGCCAATATTATAGAACGATTTTTGAATTGAAAGGACTTTGTGAAGAGGGAAGATGGTATACAATAAAAGAATCCTTGTCACTAAGTAAAAGCAAGCTTATCTTTGGCATTTAACTGTTCTGGGAGTTGTTTGGAGAAAATTAAAACGACATATTCCTGCCCTAATGGGATTTATCATTAGAGAACAGTTTTGGCTATGACACGCAATGGGCACACAGACATCGTTATAAAATCATGAGAATAAATTGATTAAATGAAAAAGGAATGAACTATACAGAGAGTATTAGTAAAATGTGGATATAGGTTATTGGTGGATCCTTGACTCCTAACCTTTTGAACCCAACCTTTCATTTTCTTCTCGCATGGTTTATAATTGCACATATTTTCTCACTGACTTCCATCACAACACCTCCTTTGACCTTTTACTTTGAAGTTACCCATTTGGCTGATTTAAAACATACATATTGCCTTAGGGCCAGGAAACCTTGTGCCATCTGTGGGATTATATATACAAGATATAAACTATATAACATTTGAGAATTTTATATAAATCATAGGAAAGAAAATCTCAAAATATTAGACATTAGAGCACAAAGGTGATTTCTAGAAGTCTAGAAATAAACCTTATAAAGCTGAGGAGATAAAAAAATCCTATTTCTACATTCCAGTTTGTATGTTCAATATAAGATGACTGAGTTTTAGTTAAAGTAATTATGTGGAAGTGAATATTTGGTGAAAGCTTTCAAAGGCCAAGTTAATGAATGACATTAATTGTGGAAACATTTTTGAACACCTAATGCCCATTAGGAATCCAGTTTGCTAAACATTTTTAGTGGCCTCACTCCCGGGCAATTTGAACAGAATGAAAGTACTAGTTACTAAGTTTTTGTTAGCTACACAGTTACCTATGTATTTAATTATATTTGGGGTTTTTATTATAACTGATTAATCCCTAGTTCTTTAGGCCATTTAGTGTATATAGCATCATGCAATTTACTAAAATAATTGAATTACTGTAACACATTATTGAAAGATTAGACTCTTGGCAACCTCAACTCTATTTAGGTTTGTAATAGACTAAATTAAAAAATACACCGTACACTGAAACACAACACAATATATGTACTTGGGTCCAAAAGTCCACTGATATGTTTATATTGTTAACTGCTTTAAGATGACTTTATTTAAAAATTAAGAGCAAAAAGGGCTTTGGAATATCTGCTGGTCCAGATTATTAATCACTAAATGCTCATTTTCTTTTCAAAATATCTTGCCTATCAATAGTAACTTCTGTTGACCGTGAGCTTTTGAATCGTTTCAGGCTCTGTAGCATGACCTAACCCTAAACTTCCTGGGAACTCAGAGTGAAGCATTCTGTGATGCAGAAGAAGCAAATTTGACTCTGAATCCCTGATGTGTACCCTCAGGATCCAGGAGCAGAAAACGTCTTTCTTCCCTTGCCTGTTTATTTTTAAATTCCTTTTATAAAATCAAAATTTGCAACAACCATAGTAGTTCAACAGCTAACTAATCCATAGATCATTTCAATTGATCTTAAAGTTCACAAAGATTTACTTTTCTAAGTGACTGGCACCCATTTACATGTCAGCACAAATCAGTGTAGATCAAACAAGTGAACCAGAGCTCCCAAGGAAAAGCTCTGCATTGGCCATCTAAAAAGTTATTGGAACAGACTTGCCCTTTGGTAGAAATGCATTGGAATGGAATAATGTTTCTTTTGCCTAAAGAGAAGCACTCAAGTGATGTCAGCTGTGCTTGAAGAAAACGTTAAAGCATCTTCTATTTGAACAAATAGGGCAACAGATCTAATAGCAAAGAAAAGTTACTTTCTATGACTCCAATGTGTTTTATTAATGGATGCTCCATAATTTGCTTCCCCTAAGATTATATACTGATACAACTTTCAGTGTGACTTCAAAACGTCCATACTTATTAGTTGATTTTTTAAATGATGCATTTTATACATTAATCTTTTTGGAAAAGGCAATATGAAACAAAGACATATTGATCAACTGTGGAGGGCCTCCAGCAATAAAATAATATGCTAAATGCTATTTCTTAGTAAAAGACTTAAGGGACAAACACACTGAGTAATAATCATGATGAGTTGTAGTTGATAAGGTAGAAGGTTACCTAAATTGAGTAAGTAGTGCAAAACAGGTGATATAGATCTTATCTGCAAGTTTACTGTATGACAAGATCATCTGTATCAATTGAAACTATAATGGCTTATTTGAAAATAAATGTTATTGCCAAGGTGGTCAAAAGAAGTATGATGTGCCTATCTCAGGCACTGGCCATGTATTGAGAACTTTGATAGTAGGATACAAATTGTCTATTGGAGAACTCTCCTTTCTAAGTTATGCTTATTTTTGCTAACCTTATCTAGGCTATTACCCTCTTGGTTAGAATTTAAGGAAAATACATTTTGAAATCTTTTAGTCACCTGATAAATGAATAAAAATTAAAAATATCAGGTAAAAAGAATAAAAGTAAAGGTGTTAGAAATTATACATGACATTTACTCTTGCTTTGTTGGTGTAAAAAGAAAAAAAAATGATACGTGACAAAAGACTTAAAATCTGAGAGAGCCCTGTATTTATTATGTGCCTGCTGGTCATTCCTTTATACGTTACTGCTCTGATGCTGGGTTTTAAACTTTTAAACTTACAGGTCTTTGTGACTGCCATCTTGAAAGTAGTTTAATATGTGCTGAATTAGCCTGACCCTTAGAGTTGTACTTACATATTGATACAGGTGGTGGACTACAACCCCTAAGTCTCTGCACATCAAGAATCTTAGGCTTACTGTTAATTTACTTTGAATTCTTAAAATAAGTGCATTCTCTGCTTTGCTTTTCCTCATATAGTCACCGTTTCTTCGTGGAGGGAGAAAGAAAGCACAACCAGAGAGAAGATACTAGTTTTCCCTTTTAGCATAGTATAAAAGGTGGCTAGTGACTACCCTGTATCAAGATTGCTGAGTGAGGCCGGGCGCGGTGGCTCACGCCTGTAATCTCAGCACTTTGGGAGGCCGAGACGGGCAGATCACGAGGTCAGGAGATCGAGACCATCCTGGCTAACACGATGAAACCCAGTCTCTACTAAAAATACAAAAATTAGCTGGGCATGGTGGCGCGCGCCTGTAGTCCCAGCTACACGGGAGACTGAGGCAGGAGAATGGCGTGAACCCGGAAGGCGGAGCTTGCAGTGAGTCGAGATCGCGCCACTGCACTCCAGCCTGGGCGACAGAGCGAGACTCCGTCTCAAAAAAAAAAAAAAAAAAAAAAAAAAAAAAAAAGATTGCTGAGTGAGGGGTTTGGGAAAAAAATAAATTATGTTGTTTAGTAAATAGTTAATGAAGCAGTGATGGTCTTAGATAAAATCACTTTTATTCTGATCCTTTTTCTATTTACGGTGGGATGTGACATATGTATACATGTGACATGCTGACGCGCTGCACCCACTAACTCGTCATCTAGCATTAGGTATATCTCCGAGTGCTATCCCTCCCCACTCTCCCCACCCCACAACAGTCCCCAGAGTGTGATGTTCCCCTTCCTGTGTCCATGTGTTCTCATTGTTCAATTCCCACCTATGAGTGAGAATACGCGGTGTTTGGTTTTTTGTTCTTGAGATAGTTTACTGAGAATGATGATTTACAATTTCATCCATGTCCCTACAAAGGACATGAACTCATCGTTTTTTATGGCTGCATAGTATTCCATGGTGTATATGTGCCACATTTTCTTAATCAAGTCTATCATTGTTGGACATTTGGGTTGGTTCCAAGTCTTTGCTATTGTGAATAGTGCCGCAATAAACATACGTGTGCATGTGTATTTATAGCAGCATGATTTATAGTCCTTTGGGTATATACCCAGTAATGGGATGGCTGGGTCAAATGGTATTTCTAGTTCTAGATCCCTGAGGAATCGCCACACTGACTTCCACAATGGTTGAACTAGTTTACAGTCCCACCAACAGTGTAAAAGTGTTCCTGTTTCTCCACATCCTCTCCAGCACCTGTTGTTTCCTGACTTTTTAATGATTGCCATTCTAACTGGTGTGAGATGGTATCTCATTGTGGTTTTGATTTGCATTTCTCTGATGGCCAGTGATGGTGAGTATTTTTTCATGTGTTTTTTGGCTGCATAAATGTCTTCTTTTGAGAAGTGTCTGTTCATGTCCTTCTCCCACTTTTTGATGGGGTTGTTTGTTTTTTTCTTGTAAATTTGTTTGAGTTCATTGTAGATTCTGGATATTAGCCCTTTGTCAGATGAGTAGGTTGCAAAAATTTTCTCCCATTTTGTGGGTTGCCTGTTGACTCTGATGGTAGTTTCTTTTGCTGTGCAGAAGCTCTTTAGTTTAATTAGATCCCATTTGTCAATTGTGGCTTTTGTTGCCATTGCTTTTGGTGTTTTAGACATGAAGTCCTTGCCCGTGCCTATGTCCTGAATGGTAATGACTAGGTTTTCTTCTAGGGTTTTTATGGTTTTAGGTCTAACGTTTAAGTCTTTAATCCATCTTGAATTGATTTTTGTATAAGGTGTAAGGAAGGGATCCAGTTTCAGCTTTCTACATATGGCTAGCCAGTTTTCCCAGCACCATTTATTAAATAGGGAATCCTTTCCCCATTGCTTGTTTTTCTCAGGTGTTTCAAAGATCAGATAGTTGTAGATATGCGGCATTATTTCTGAGGCTCTGTTCTGTTCCATTGATCTATATTTCTGTTTTGGTACCAGTACCATGCTGTTTTGGTTACTGTAGCCTTGTAGTATAGTTTGAAGTCAGGTAGTGTGATGCCTCCAGCTTTGTTCTTTTGGCTTAGGATTGACTTGGTGACGCGGGCTCTTTTTTGGTTCCATATGTACTTTAAAGTAGTTTTTTCCAATTCTGTGAAGAAAGTCATTAGTAGCTTGATGGGGATGGCATTGAATCTATAAATTACCTTGGGCAGTAAGGCCATTTTCACGATATTGATTCTTTCTACCCATGAGCATGGAATGTTCTTCCATTTTTTTGTATCCTCTTTTATTTCATTGAGCAGTGGTTTGTAGTTCTCCTTGAAGAGGTCCTTCACATCCCTTGTAAAGTGGATTCCTAGGTATTTTATTCTCTTTGAAGCAATTGTGAATGGGAGTTCACTCATGATTTGGCTCTCTGTTTGTCTGTCATTGGTGTATAAGAATGCTTGTGATTTTTGTACATTGATTTTGTATCCTGAGACTTTGCTGAAGTTGCTTATCAGCTTAAGGAGATTTTGGGCTGCGACGATCGGGTTTTCTAGATATATAATCATGTCATCTGCAAACAGGGACAATTTGACTTCCTCTTTTCCTAATTGAATACCCTTTATTTCCTTCTCCTGTCTGATTGCCCTGGCCAGAACTTCCAACATTATGTTGAATAGGAGTAGTGAGAGAGGGCAACCCTGTCTTGTGCCAGTTTTCAAAGGGAATGCTTCCAGTTTTTGCCCATTCAGTATGATATTGGCTGTGGGTTTGTCACAGATAGCTCTTATTATTTTGAGATATGTCCCATCAATACCGAATTTATTGAGAGTTTTTAGCATGAAGGGTTGTTGAATTTTGTCAAAGGCCTTTTCTGCATCTATTGAGATAATCATGTGGTTTTTGTCTTTGGTTCTGTTTATATGCTGGATTATATTTATTGATTTTCGTATATTGAACCAGCCTTGCATTCCAGGGATGAAGCCCACTTGATCATGGTGGATAAGCTTTTTGATGTGCTGCTAGATTCGGTTTGCCAGTATTTTATTGAGGATTTTTGCATCAATGTTCATCAAGGATATTTGTCTAAAATTCTCTTTTTTGGTTGTGTCTCTGCCTGGCTTTGGTATCAGGATGATGCTGGCCTCATAAAATGAGTTAGGGAGGATTCCCTCTTTTTCTATAGATTGGAATAGTTTCAGAAGGAATGGTACCAGTTCCTCCTTGTACCTCTGGTAGAATTCGGCTGTGAATCCATCTGGTCCTGGACTCTTTTTGGTTGGTAAGCTATTGATTATTGCCACAATTTCAGATCCTGTTATTGGTCTATTCAGAGATTCAACTTCTTCCTGCTTTAGTCTTGGGAGAGTGTATGTGTTGAGGAATTTATCCATTTCTTCTAGATTTTCTAGTTTATTTGCGTAGAGGTGTTTGTGGTATTCTCTGATGGTAGTTTGTATTTCTGTGGGATCGGTGGTGATATCCCCTTTATCATTTTTTATTGCGTCTATTTAATTCTTCTCTCTTTTTTTCTTTATTAGTCTTGCTAGCGGTCTATCAATTTTGTTGATCCTTTCAAAAAACCAGCTCCTGGATTCATTAATTTTTTGAAGGGTTTTTTGTGTCTCTATTTCCTTCAGTTCTGCTCTGATTTTAGTTATTTCTTGCCTTCTGCTAGCTTTTGAATGTGTTTGCTCTTGCTTTTCTAGTTCTTTTAATTGTGATGTTAGGGTGTCAACTTTGGATGTTTCCTGCTTTCTGTTGTGGACATTTAGTGCTATAAATTTCCCTCTACACACTGCTTTGAATGTGTCCCAGAGATTCTGGTATGTTGTGTTTTTGTTCTCATTGGTTTCAAAGAACATCTTTATTTTTGCCTTCATTTCGTTATGTACCCAGTAGTCATTCAGGAGCAGGTTGTTCAGTTTCTATTTAGTTGAGGGGTTTTGAGTGAGTTTCTTAATCCTGAGTTCTAGTTTGATTGCACTGTGGTCTGAGAGATAGTTTGTTATAATTTCTGTTCTTTTACATTTGCTGAGGAGAGCTTTACTTCCGACTATGTGGTCAATTTTGGAATAGGTGTGGTGTGGTGCTGAAAAAAATGTATATTCTGTTGATTTGGGGTGGAGAGTTCTGTAGATGTCTATTAGGTCAGCTTGGTGCAGAGCTGCGTTCAATTCCTGGGTATCCTTGTTGACTTTCTGTCTCATTAATCTGTCTAATGCTGACAGTGGGGTGTTAAAGTCTCCCATTATTAATGTGTGGGAGTCTAAGTCTCTTTGTAGGTCACTGAGGACTTGCTTTATGAATCTGGGTGCTCCTGCATTGGGTGCATATATATTTAGGATAGTTAGCTCTTCTTGTTGAATTGATCCCTTTACCATTATGTAATGGCCTTCTTTGTCTCTTTTGATCTTTGTTGGTTTAAAGTCTGTTTTATCAGAGACTAGGATTGCAACCCCTGCCTTTTTTTGTTTTCCATTTGCTTGGTAGATCTTCCTCCATCCTTTTATTTTGAGCCTATGTGTGTCCCTGCATGTGAGATGGGTTTCCTGAATACAACACACTGATGGGTCTTGAGTCTTTATCCAATTTGGCAGTCTGTGTCTTTTAATTGGAGCATTTAGCCCATTTACATTTAAGGTTAATATTGTTATGTGTGAATTTGAACCTGTCATTATGATGTTAGCTGGTTATTTTGCTTGTTAGTTGATGCAGTTTCTTCCTAGACTTGATGGTCTTTACATTTTGGCATGATTTTGCAGCAGCTGGTACCGGTTGTTCCTTTCCATGTTTAGTGCTTCCTTCAGGAGGTCTTTTAGGGCAGGCCTGGTGGTGACAAAATCTCTCAGCATTTGCTTGTCTGTAAAGTATTTTATTTCTCCTTCACTTATGAAGCTTAGTTTGGCTGGATATGAAATTCTGGGTTGAAAATTCTTTTCTTTAAGAATGTTGAATATTGGCCCCCACTCTCTTCTGGCTTGTAGAGTTTCTGCCGAGAGATCAGCTGTTAGTCTGATGGGCTTCCCTTTGTGGGTAACCCGACCTTTCTCTCTAGCTGCCCCTAACATTTTTTCCTTCATTTCAACTTTGGAGAATCTGACAATTATGTGTCTTGGAGTTGCTCTTCTCAAGGAGTATCTTTGTGGCGTTCTCTGTATTTCCTGAATCTGAATGTTGGCCTGCCTTGCTAGATTGGGGAAGTTCTCCTGGATAATATCCTGCAGAGTGTTTTCCAACTTGGTTCCATTCTCTCCGTCACTTTCAGGTACACCAATCAGACGTAGATTTGGTCTTTTCACATAGTCCCATATTTCTTGGGGCTTTGTTCATTTCTTTTTCTTCTTTTTTCTCTAAACTTCCCTTCTCACTTCATTTCATTCATTTCGTCTTCCATCGCTGATACCCTTTCTTCCAGATGATCGCATTGGCTCCTGAGGCTTCTTCATTCTTCGCGTAGTTCTCGAGCCTTGGCTTTCAGCTCCATCAGCTCCTTTAAGCACTTCTCTGTATTGGTTATTCTAGTTATACATTCGTCTAAATTTTTTTTCAAAATTTTTAACTTCTTTGCCTTTGGTTTGAATTTCCTCCTGTAGCTCATAGTTTGATCGTCTGAAGCCTTCTTCTCTCAACTCGTCAAAGTCATTCTCTGTCCAGCTTTGTTCCATTGCTGGTGAGGAACTGCGATCCTTTGGAGGAGGAGAGGTGCTCTGCTTTTTAGAGTTTCCAGTTCTGCTCTGTTTTTTCCCCATCTTTGTGGTTTTATCTACTTTTCGTCTTTGATGATGGTGATGTACAGATGGGTTTTTGGTGTGGATGTCCTTTCTGTTTGTTAGTTTTCCTTCTAACAGACAGGACCCTCAGCTGCAGGTCTGTTGGAATTTGCTAGAGGTCCACTCCAGACCCTGTTTGCCTGGGTATCAGCAGCGGTGTCTGCAGAACAGTGGTTTTTCGTGAACCGCGAATGCTGCTGTGTGATCATTCCTCTGGAAGTTTTGTCTCAGAGGAGTACCCAGCCCTGTGAGGTGTCAGTCTGCCCCTACTGGGGGGTGCCTCCCAGTTAGGCTGCTCAGTGGTCAGGGGTCAGGGACCCACTCGAAGAGGCAGTCTGCCCGTTCTCAGATCTCCAGCTGTGTGCTGGGTAAACCACTGCTCTCTTCAGAGCTGTCAGACAGGGACATTTAAGTCTGCAAAAGTTACTGCTGTCTTTTTATTTGTCTGTGCCCTGCCCCCAGAGGTGGAGCCTACAGAGGCAGGCAGGCCTCCTTGAGCTGTGGTGGGCTCCACCCAGTTGGAGCTTCCTGGCTGCTTTGTTTACCTAAGCATGCCTGGGCAATGGCGGGCACCCCTCCCCCAGCCTCGCTGCCACCTTGCAGTTTGATCTCAGACTGCTGTGCTAGCAATCAGCAAGACTCCATGGGCGTAGGACCCTCCAAGCCAGGTGCAGGATATAATCTCCTGGTGTGCCGTTTTTTAAACCCATCGGAAAAGCGCATTATTCGGGTGGGAGTGACCCGATTTTCCAGGTGCCATCTGTCACCCCTTTCTTTGACTAGGAAAGGGAACTCCCTGACCCCTTGCGCTTCCTGAGTGAGGCAATGCCTCGCCCCACTTCGGCTCGTGCACGGTGCGCTGCACCCACTGACCTGTGCCCACTGTCTGGCACTCCCTAGTGAGATGAACCCGGTACCTCAGATGGAAATGCAGAAATCACCTGTCTTCTGCGTCACTCACGCTGGGAGCTGTAGACCTGAGCAGTTCCTTTTCGGCCATCTTGGCTCCTCTGTCCCAAAAGTATTCAGTGTATTAAGTTCCTGGTTTTTCCTCTGTGGATCTGATCTTCCTCCAGGCTTCCTCACTAGAGTAAGTATATCCTCCATTAATTCACTTGTCCGAGGCAGAAATATGGAATATGGAAGTGATCCTAAAATTTGTTTCTTTTTCTTTTTTATTTTTTTTGAGATGGAATCTCGCTCTGTCACCCAGGCTGCATGCAGTGGTGTGAACTCTGCTCACTGCAAGCTCCACCTGCTGGGTTCAGGCGATTCTTCCACCTCAGCCTCCTGAGTAGCTAGGATTACAGTCATGTGCCATGATGCCCGGCTAATTTCGTGTTTTTAGTAGAGATGCGGTTTCTCCATATTGTTCAGGCTGGTCTCGAACTCCCAACCTCAGGTGATCTGCCTCCAGAAGTGCGAGGATTACAGGCGTGAGCCACCACACCTGGCTGATCCTAAAATTTCTAAGCCTCAAAATATATTTTGAATATATCTATTTCACTTCATCCTCACTGCATCTCTTGGTCCAAGCTGCCATCTTTTTTATTAGAACTATTTTAGTAGCCTTGTAACTGGTCTCTCTATATTGCTCTTAATTCCTTCCAATGCATTTGTTATGAAGAAGCCAGGATTATTTTTTAAACCCTAAAAAAATCTTAAAATGCCCCAGTGATTTTCTGTTGTATTTGGGATGTATAAAAGTAGAATTATATTTAACACGGCTTTTTAGACTATTGCAATTTAGTCCCTAGCTACTTTTGTGTGCTTATCTTGAGCCATTCTCCCCTCTTTCTGACACACTGTCCTTAATTTAGTTCCCTAAAGGGCCATCTAAGAAAGTTCACACTTGCTCCCTCTGGTTGAAACACTCTTCTTTTTGCCTGCTCATCCTTGAAGTCTCAAATAAAATGTTATTTCCTCATTGAGGGGATCCCTGAAGGACCAATTTAAACTAGATATACCTCATTGCTCTCTTTCATAGTGTGCAGTAAAGGGTTAATTCAGCAAGCTTGAGGTGCTCACATTCTGCACATTCCAAAGAAAGGTCTGTTTTTAGATCATCTCTGGAAGATAACTTCTGAGCCTTGGGAATATTCTGCCTGATATGAGGATTTTGTATGCCTGACACCTTGTGCCACACAGTGCCATTTTGGTTACACAGCTTATGCTAACAATGTGATTTATGTTGAGTGCCTGTTTTTGCTGAGGGAACCAGAGTCTGAGTAGTTGAGGCCAGTGGCAAGTGAGCTACATGTCTTTGTTTCTGGCTCCCTAATGAAAACCCTGGACGCCAAGCCTCAGGTGAGCTTCCCTGGTTGGTAACACCTATATGTGTTGTTGTACATCATTCCTGAGAGGGATTAGTACATCCCCATGTAACTTCACTGGGAGAGACACCTGGGAGTTTGCTTGGCTCCTCATGGAAATTATCCCAGGTGCGTTTTCCCTTTGTTGGATTCTTTCTCTGTAACAAACCATAACTGTGAGTGTAACTGCTTTTCTGAGTCCTGTGAATTTTTCTAGTGAATCATCAAGCCTGAGAGTGATATTAGAGACCCCAAAACACATTGTACCTTATTTGTTTCCTTAAAAACAACTATGTTCATTTGTCATTATATATAATTGTTTATTTACTCTTTTTTATTTTGCTTACATCCAGACATTCTATAAATGTAGAAATTAGGCAGTGAATTATTTTGTTTCTCATCGTATTCCAATTCCTAGCATAGCACAACAGGTGCTCAATAAATGTTTGGGGAATTAAAAATTAAATGTAAGATAAAAATACATGAAAGAAATTAAGTGAAAGATTAATTTGGAAAGGTTAAATGCCATATGATTCCAGCTATATGAGATTCTGGAAAAGCCAAAACTATGAATACAGTGAAAAGATCATTAATTGCCAGGGGTTGGGGAGAGGGAGGAATGAATAGGTGGAGCATACAGGATTTTTAGGGCAGTGAAACTATGTTGTATGATACTGTCATTGTGGATACATGCCATTACACATTTGTACAAACACATAGAATGTACGACACCAAGAGTGAACCCTCATGTAAACTATGGACTTTGAGTGATTACATGTCAGTGTAGGTTTGCCCATTGTAACAAAGGTACCATTCTGGAGAGGGATGTTGATAATGGGGTGGGGTTGGGGGTGCTGTGCACGTGTGGGGCGAAGAGTATAGTATGTGGGAATATGTTCTGCACCTTCTCCATTTTGCTGTGAACCTCTCTAAAAAGTAAAGTTATTTAAAAACTGAATGTACAGTATTTGGTGCAAAATAAATAGCTCTGAAGAACTTTAAGATTTGATAACATTGTCTTCCAATTTGATTTCAACCTTTAAATATTATAATTTAGCTTTATTTCCTGAATAATTACACATATAATTGAAAATAGTCCCAGTATTTCAATTTGTATTATAGATTTGTGATAATTCTAATAACTGTGTTTTCACTCAGTTCTGAGTTTCTTGTCAAACTTGTATAAAATTCCTACTATAATCTTTAAGTTTGTTATGGAGGATTTTGGAGTGACTGATGGGATATAAGGAAGAGACAAAACGCAAGCAGAATTATTCTGGTTGGCTTAAGAAAATAAAGTGAAGCAGTAGGTGATGAGCTGTCACTGGAAGGAGAATTCTAAAGCTGTGAAGAGCATAATTAATTAAAGGACTTTGCAGCTTGCTCTTGACCCACATTTTAAATTACAGAGAGTTAGTAAACCAGGACTAGAAATCTCCAAAGATATAAAGCAGAATAGACCATAGTTTGACTTACAAATAGGAAGAACAGGGGTAATGAAAAATCAATTTAGGAGCCTAAAAAGTCTGCTATAGTGACTGATAAGTAGCCCACTGTTTTTTACATGTTTTTGAATTTATCTCTGTATTCTGAGAAACTTGAAGTTATTTTCCCCTGGTCCTATGACACTGTCTGCAGTTGATGGAAACTGATGTGGGAGAAAGTGATGGAAAGAAATTAGGAGCTATTGGAAACCAGTCATTTGCAAATGAGTGCCCTGACTTCTCAGAATATATCCTGAAATGGTAATGTCACTCATCTTCCTAATTCTAAATTAGACATGCTCTGTTGCATTGGTTGAAATTCCTACTTTCCATCTGTCGAGGTGGAGGATGCTGAAGTGGTCATGTTTTTTTTTTAATTAATATTTTTTTGCATGTCTGGCACATGTTCCTCTTAGTCTTGTTAAACATCTGGTTTTCCCATTGAGGATCTATTCTTTGGCCACGACCCAGGTATGTGAGACTTGCTGACCCAATCAGATTTGCACTTGGGAATTTAGATCTAGAGTAGAAATATCAGCCACAAACTGGTTGTCCTAGTTACTAAATCCTGAAGAGGCAGCCATTAAATTCTGCTGTCTGTGTTCTCAGTAATGTCATAATTCTTCATTTTTTTGCTGAGAAACATCATTTCTTTGAGTCTATGAGATACCAAATACAGACAGAGCTGGAGCCTCAAGGTTAAGGAGTGTTAATCTCTCATTGCCAGGAAGAGCCACCTCGTGGATGACACATGGCTTGGGAAATGTTTTTAGGCTGGTGGAGATGTGTCTAAACAGATATATTTTTAGGGCCCCCTTGTAATATCTATTCTGGCAATGATGCTTTTATTCTAATTAATACATAATCTAGCACTGAAGAAAATGCTTCTTAGAATATTTTTCACTGAAAAATTGGATGTGGTTACTGTTGTTCCACAGTAGAGTGAATTCAGTGAAATAAGCTTGTGGATTTTGGCTACTGCACTACTCCTTTTTCTATTCACTCATTGTCATTCCATAAACATTTACAGAGTGTACACTATATATAACACACTGTACTAGGGGCTGAGGGAGCTGCTGCT
Source organism: Homo sapiens (assembly GCF_000001405.40). NCBI lineage: Eukaryota > Metazoa > Chordata > Mammalia > Primates > Hominidae > Homo > Homo sapiens. The sequence continues at coordinate 118,379,105 of NC_000005.10, read as the reverse complement.
GGGAACATTTTTATGTGAGTAAGATGATCAGCTTTTCTAGATGGAAACTTAAGGGACTTGAGGAAAAAGCCATTTCAGACAGATAGGAATCCGTGATTTTTAAAGACTTTTGAGAGATTGTGATTTTTTTGAAGCTATCTTTTATAACAGTTCCAAAATACAGTCTAGAAGTTAACCACACAAGACAACAGAAAATTCCCCTACTAACTTAACCCTAATTCTTTTCCTTAAATCCATTTATGCCTTTTCCTTCATTATTGTATCTAAAGAATAGCTGATTCCTTATAATAATCCTTCATATAGTTAATAGTGTTAATGAAAAAAATCCTTTACATAGTTAAGGCAGTTACTAAGTCACTTTTCAGCCTTTTTTTCCCCTCCAGGCTAAGTAATCCAATTATGTTAAGTTTATGCCATAATTAAACTAAAGATTGCTTTAGGAAAGTTTAATCACATCATTGAAATATCCCCCAACTAAACCAGGTGCTTGTCAAGAAATGTGGTTAGTGACCTTGTAAAAGCTAATGAAGTTTCATATTATATGTTATTTTGTGTTGTAAACACAATCTGGCAGAGACCTCGAGGAAACAAATAAATAAAGCAACTGAATCAAAACCATTGTCTCTCAGCGAGGCTTGACATTTAAGTGGACTATCCAAAGCAAGTATGAAGCATGACTTATTGCTTAAAAAAAACCCTGAGCACAGAACACTTGGTATTGTTGCAATAATGTGTTAAAAAATCAACTTCCACACTGAATAGGTTTGAATCTGATGCACGCCCAGTGAAAGTGTAGAAGAAACTTAGAATTATTAAACTAAGTGATGTCATGTTTACGTTACTTTCCCATGTCCTCTGCCCTCTGCTAGATGTTGGTGGGTGGTCCAGTTGTGGTACTACTTTACCACCTTGCTATGATCAAGGTATGTGTTTGCCATAAGCATCTCTATAGCCATAATTGTTCTTCTATTCTTTTTTTAAGCTACACAATTCTTACTTGAAAAATAGCAGGTAGGATTTAACATGTCCTCTGTATAACTTAGACAACATACATGTTTCAAATAACTTTATGTCCATCAGCCTTCTTTCATCATCTTTATTTCCTCTTCTGGATGCTATCTAAAATAGGGAAGAAGGAAATTATTTTGGTTGTCCTTGATTTTTATCCTTCTGACATAAACATGAGGCTGACCTGGAATTTGTATCAGAAGCTCTGTGACCTCTCCGTTTCAGCTCTTTTAGCTTTTAACAATTTGATGTTCTGAGTGTGAAGACTAGGACGAACCAAGAGAGATGCCCAGAGGGCAACATTTAAGAAGGTCTTCACTTTGTGTTCTGCAAAGGTTGACTTTGAGAGCTTCCTAGCCTGGGCCTTCCTAATTTTTTCTTTTACACATTAAGTGTGCAGTGGATATACAGACATTGGAATGTGGTTGGAGGAGAAGAATCATACTTTTGCTGTGATTCTGAGAAGCCTGATTCATGTAGTAGTGAGATAAGGGTTTCTTGGAATCAGGAGTGGGATCCTCTGTATCCAGTCTCTGTGGCTAAATCAAGGTCTATATTCTGGTCCTTATGATTTTTTTTTTCTCTTCTCTTTTGACTTGTGCTGATGTTATGGGCTAAACTGTGTCTCCCTCAAAATTCATATATTGAAGTCCTCATCTCCAGTACCTCAGAATGTGACTTTATTACTTCATTTGTTTGTTTGTTTGAGATGGAATCTCACTCTGTAACCCAGGAGTGCTGTGGCCCCATCTCAGCTGACTGCAACCCCGCCTCCCAGGTTCAAGTGATTCTCCTGCCTCAGCCTCCCGAATAGCTGGGATTACAGGTACCAGACACCATGTCTGGCTAATTTTTATATTTTTATTAGAGACCAGGTTTCACTATGTTGGCCAGGCTGGTCTTGAACTCCTGACCTCAAGTGATCTGCCCACCTTGGCTCCCCAAAGTGCTGGTATTACGGGCATGAGCCACCGGGCCTGGCCAGAATGTGACTATATTTAGATTTAGGTTCTTTAAAGAGGTCAAGTTAAGCAAGGTCATATGTTGAGCCCTAATTCAATATGACTAGCGTCCTTATGAAAAAAGAAAGAGGCATCAGGATTGCTTCCACACAGAGAAAAGGCCATGTGAGGACACAGTGAGCAGGCAGCCTCTGCAAGCCAAGGAGAGCTGCCTCAGGAGAAACCAAACCTGTCAACACCTTGATCTGGGACCTTCAGCCTCCAGAACTGTGAGAAAATAAATTTCTGTTGTTTAAACCACATAGTCTGTGCTATCTTTTTATGGAAGCCCTAGCAACTAATATAGTTGATTATATGGCCAGTGTTACTCCAGGAAAGTCCTGGTATATGAACATCTCCCCTTCCTAGCCTTGACCATGACCTTCCTAGGTACTCACACATGAACACTTAGTTGGTGTTATTTCATTCTTTACTCTTTAACTTCAAAGAAGCTATTCTAGGATTAAGAAATCCCTTTATGGGTTATAATTAGAATTTGAGGCCAAGCTAAGAAAGACCTCTGGAGGCTTTTCTTTGCTCCAGGAATAGGATTGTAAATTTTAATGGATTGGCTCATTGTTCTTTAAGTTTGAGGCCATGCTCAGTCCCTGCCGTTTTTACCTACGGTAGAAAAATATAGACTTAATGTCATTCTTGAATGATGAACTATGCCTGTCTTAAAAACAAAAAGCTCACAGTTTCTATAATGTACATTTAATGATTGGAACAATTTATTTTTCCTTCCAATTCTTTTATTTAATTTAAGGTTAAACTACATCTCTTTTCTCTTAAACACCTGCAATATATAAACTCCAATAACAATAAATTAAAATGTTTAAAAATGGGCCAAAAGTACACTTCTTTCAGGAAGTGATTCTTGAAAATCTGGCAGAAGTTTGATGGTGTTGAGAGCTGGTAATGTATGAAGAAACCTAAGACTAGTGACTGTTATCCTAGGACTGATTACACTGTAACTGGCTCAAGTATTCCTATCTACGAAAGGAGGGTGTTGCCCCGATCATTTCTAGTTCTGTCATGGAACAAAGGTAAATAAAAATAATTGAAAAACTAAGATTATGTGTTCAAATACTAGGTGGCTGGCCACATTATCTGAACTTCCAGTTTCTCATAGCTGAGTTGAAAAATTCCAGGAGAACCTCTTTCTGATCCAGTAACAGTCTGAGCCAAACTGTCCAAGCAACCTATATTTAAGCACTTGAAATTTTACCCTAAACTAAGCTTTTTAGACTCAAATCGTGTGGGCCTGGAAGGGGGTGTGGTAGGGATGGTGGACAGCTGAAGAACAGAGCCCTGAGATTGCCTACAGGGACACCAGGCCTCTGCCTTACAGGATATGGCCGTCCTATAGAAGGATGGGATCTATGGTTTCTGGATGTTTGTATTTTCTAGGAGAAACCAGGCATTCAGATTTCAGTATCAAGTCTAATTTTAAAATGTTGGCAACCAGTACATTATTTTTAGACGTGCAGGGAAAATAGACCTATCTGCTCTTGTTTACAATATTCTCATAGTTCCCAAAGTAGGAGCTATGCAAACATTCACTGACACTGTATTCATGGTGCATGGTGTCCGTTTCTGTGGGAAGCCTGCAACAGTGTTTTTCAAACTGCATTCCCTCAGAGCCTAGCAGATCTTCTGTGGCTATGCAAGGCTACTGATGTGTTAGCTTCCTTTTCCTTTTTTTTTTTTTGACTGGGTTTACAATTCTATTTGAACAAAAGGTCGTTTTGGTCAATATATGTAAAGTGTTTACAATACTTGGCACATAGCAAGCACTACTATGTGTTAGCTACTATTATTAGCAAGGAGTTTGTAAGACATTTTCTGTAGGGATAATAAGTTAATGTCCTAATGATTCTATTACGTTGTTCCAAAGAAATACCATCCTTCAGTTTCATGAAATTCAAAAGCTTTTTAATGCACCCTTAAAGTTTTTATGAAACTTTAAGGTTTCATAAAATACTGAAAAAGTAGCTGTATTTTATCTAAGACTTTAATGTGGGAAAACCCAATGAGAGTCCTTGCTCGTTTGCAACCTTACTTTTGCTATGTTTGCTTTTAAATTAAAAAAGAATTTTACATTTTCATTTCTTATCTAGGTTGCCCACAGCTGGGCTGACTTGTGCGATTTTACCTTTGAATCTGAGAGTACAAATACATTCATCAATATTCTATTTCCCAAAGGTATACTAATTCTCGTGAATAATCACAACAATCATGGCAAATTTTTAGAGATTATAACCGAATCATTCCTCTGCAACTGCTATACAGAAAGACTGTGTTAGAAGCTGGTTAACTTGATGATCTCTCACCCTCTGGTCCCCTGACCTACCTTTGCAGTCTTGAACTCCAGCAATGAGGAGTATATCACTTTCTTACCTTTCTTGCATCATTACCTCTGCCCAGAATGCCTCTCACATCCCTTTGATTGTCAAAATTCATTCCATCTTTCAGTGATGGTTTCAAATCTTGCCTTCTCCAGGAAACTTTTCTTGCTCCCTCAATATTACAATCACCTTGTGCCAGCCCTGCTATTTCCTTCCTTTGAGACCTCTTAACAGTTTATTCCTGTATATTTGAAGGTACTTATAAGTTCTTATGATGCATGTTTGCATAACTTCTATAGCTCTGTATTCAGCTTTATGAAGGAATGTAGATAAACCATGTATTGTGGAGTAATATTGCACATAAAATTAAATCATAAACATCCCTGTATTTAGGCATAGAGTATAGACTCTTGGTACCTTTTACTGTGAGGTGTAAGGCCCTCCATAGTCAGCAGTTGCAGTATAACCTCCTACAGTTTTTCTTCAATCACATTAGAACTATACATGCAAATAGTATAAATTCTACTTACATCAGACTTGTTTCACCAGTTTAACATGCTTTTCTCTTACTTTTATTCTTATAGATGGTGCTTTTTCTTGGCTCTATAAAATACCATATTCTTAGTGATATCTTGAGTTGTTGGTTAGTTTATGGCACTTAATAAATTCCTTTTAGGATTAAATTTAGATTGTGAGCCCTACCGTTCTTTAACATTGCAATAGTTTCCCACAGAAGGGTGGATGAATCTTCATATTCATTTTGCTTTTATATATAAAGATGAAGTCATCAGTATACCAGATATCTAGCTTTTATTCCCAATGGTAACTTGTTACCTCCCAAGAGAAGAGGCCACATAGGGAAGCACCTGGGTCACTCAGAAGGCAGAGGGAGTAAGGGGGAAATATAGGTGGGCTAGACTTGGACATTTAGGAGGAACCTGATGGAGTAACATAATCACAAAGTAACTTTCAAATGCTGACTGCCCGATGTCCAGTAAAGACTCAGAGATGATACATGAGGTAAAACATCTCTAAAGCCAGTGTCATAGCGTGTCATAGTTAGCTGGGTCTTCTCTTTCCCACTGCTCAGGTGCTCATACAATCCTGTTTGTCTGGGATTGAAACCATTTATGCCTTTTGTCACTGTATACTTATTAAGTGACACTTTCACCCTCAAAAGTGTCCCAGTGTAGATAACAATTTATATGGTCCCTCTACTCATAATAGCCCTCTATTTCCTAATTTATTGGCCTTACTATACCTGTAATATAATAAAAAAACTACATTTTCAGATAGTATTATCATATTGGGTTAATAGAGAAGACTTAAAACTGATTCATTAGCTAAAAAGCTATCACCAAAAACTTGTACATTGTTTTCATATAGATAATTTCTCAAGACAAAACTCCCCAAATTTTGGATCTTTGCTTTAAAAATTGGAGAACTTAGAAGCCAGAAGATTTTAATTCTAGATTCAAATCTGACATTACATTTTATTTGAGCAACTTTCTCATTCTTTTGGAATGATGGATTACTTACTTTTAAAATAAAATAACACAAGATTGATAAAAACATGATTACTAGAAGGATAAAATGACAATGTAAAGGAAAGGGTTTTGAAAATAAAAGGCAGGAAGTATTATTGTGTTATATAGGAAAATTAGTGACCCAATTTGACAAAAAGTCATTCTGTTTTCACCAATAAAGAAACGTATAATCATTTTATGCAGAAAAAATAGTGAGGCAAAGTTAGCATAGAGACCACATCTAGGGAAATACATGCTAAATATAAATGAATAATGCACGTAATGAATTATGCATGATTTTAAATTAGTTGATGAAATAGATTCATTATAGATGATAATGCAGGATTTCTGATCCTCGTTTTGAATTTGATACCGAAGTAAATCATTGTGTTGGAATTCCCTCTGACAGCCCTTGCAGTGTAAATCTCTCCATGTAGCTTGTTCAATTCATTCTTCTTAATGAGGAGGGAGGAAGGAGAATGCTGGCAGCATTACAACAAAGGAATATGAAAGTGAGGCAACAGCTGTATAAGGGATTAAAATATGGAGAAAGAGCATAACATATATGCATTTGCTTATGAATGAACATTTTTAGCAAAAGCCATTTACAGTTCAGTGTCCACATGGCCTTGCAGAATAGGGACTCTGTTTTCTTGTTGGCTGATTTGAGCCTTTCCAGTCAGTTTTCCCATTTGTTCTACTTTTTTGATGTTTCTTTAGTTATCTAGCATTTTGGTTTGGATGTTTTCTATTTTCCTTGGTTTGTGGCCAGTTAGACCAGCTGGTGGTAATGAGGTTGTTGGCCAGTCCTGGAGGCAGCAGGGAGGGTCATTTGACAGAATGTTTTCCATAGCTGGAGCCTGCTTTCAGGATTAATGACAAGAATAGCAGCCAGTTTTTGTTTTAAGTACCTACTAAATATCAGGTGCTTCACAAGCACTATCGAATTGGATTCTTATAATTCTTCTTTGATTTGAGTGTTTATCTCTCACATTTCACTAAGCAGGAGACCCAAGCTTACGGAGAGCAAATAATTTGGCTCACGTCTTATGCCTAGTAAGTGACTAAGCTAGAAAGTGCAATCAGAGTTTTCTCACTCTATAGCTTGTGCTCTTCACCAGCAATTACTTCTCAAATGTTTACCTGTTCAGAAGGAGCCACAAGCAAGAATAGAACTAAATGCATCAGAAACACCTGTCACCATAGGGAATAAAAGCTAGGTATCTGGTCAGCTGATGGCTTCATCTTTGTATGTGAAAGACTACATTGTTATTTAGCACCATGTATTTGTGTCTAGACCTCTTTCTTGACCTTTCTGGTGGTCAAAAAGAAACAAATGAACAAACAAACAACTGCTAATCCACTAAATTATAAGAAATCTCTGAGAGGAACAATGCCTCAAGGCCATCTACTTTCTTGCTATCATTGGAATATATTTACTTCTTCAGGAATGCATGCTTTTCTCTACCCCAAATGTGGACACAACTTATAGATTAAGAACTCCTTGGTTGTGTCTTTGGATCCTTTGACACCTGTTTCAAGACTAAGTTAAGTTTCTTTACCTAATCTAACTAAAGTGGTGACCACAAGTGGAAATTCCTACGACATCAATTTTCCGAACCATGCATTTGGCAGTTTACATTTAAGGAAGTTTATTGCTAGCTAAACATTTCTGCCTGAACACTAAGTCCTGTAAAACCTTTGAGGAAAAGGGCCATGTCATGTTCTTTTTGTATCTCTAACATATCAGATAAATGCTTGGTGCATAGGAGGTGCTCAATATATACTGATTACTTTGGTCTATCTAACACCCAATGGAGAGATCTGGAGAGTTCTGTAAACTCATCAATTGATGTATGCCTAAGTATTAATTTGTCATAGATAACAAATTTCATGTTACCATAAATTTAAGAGTATTTCATAGCATTATGCATGAGTAACTGAAACTGCAGAAGCTGTCCCTAATTGTAGCTTAATGAATTACAAAATACTTTATTCTAGCTGAGGAGGCTGATGACAATTAAATGAAAGCATGAAAAGGACCTGGGCTTGATGGTGAGAAAATCTCAAACTTCTTAGCTCCTCTGTCTTCTTTGTCCCAATATGCATTCCTTCCCAGATGTGCTGCACATGTTAAGGCTTTTAGGGATTAATCAAAGCGCATTTGTTTGCATTTACTTGGGAGTATGATAGCCTCAAAATTCCATATTTAGTGTATGTTTGATCCTCTCAGTTCTTCATTGTTTGTATGTACACAAGCGGAAATAGAAACATAGGTTATCTAAGGAGCAAATAATTTGGTTTCTGTACTTTCCCCCTATCAATATGAAGAAATTAGGTACAGCTTTTTGAAGAGTATGTTAGAAGTCAAATGACTACCATTAAAAATTACAGGCCAGGCACAGTGGCTCATGCTTGTAATCCCAGCACTTTGGGAGGCCGAGGCGGGAAGATAGCTTGAGTCCAGGAGTTTGAGACCAGCCTGGGCAACATGACGAAACCCTGTCTTTACAAAAATTAACCAGGCCTTGTGGTGCGCACCTGTAGCCGCAGCTTCTTGGTAGGCTAAAGTGGGAGGACTGCTTAAGCCTGGGGAGGTAGAGGCTGCAGTGTGCCATGATCACACAACTGCATTCCAGCCTGGGTGACAGAGCAAGACCCTGTCTCAAAAAAAAAAAAAAAATCAAATTATAATAATCAAATGATTTTTCCATTAGATCAATGAATTCAGGGAAAGGTCTATTTTGATTTGTTACCCTGTTGTTGTTAAATTGTTCCCTATAATTCAGCCTATAGAATATTTTTTCACAGGGCTTTCTGAATGAGACTTGACAGATAGAAGCTTACTTTTCCTCTCTGGTTCATTACTTATATTGTCTGTGTACTTTTCCATCTCAATCCTTCATAAATGTCTATTAACTGATTCCCTATTGTACTCTGGTAAAAGAATATAATTGAAGTAATTTAAAAAATTAATGGAACAGAAATACTGACTATGTCCCAGTTTGCTGTTACCTTCCCATACCCTTCAGTTATAAATCTATTTCCCATGCACCATTACTAGAATCATACGTTGTGAAACTCTGACTTCATCTTAGGATGATTTCTTTAAGATATTCTATTAGAAACTTCTAAAAACATGCCTCTGAGCATAATGTTTTCACACAGCATGTGTATTATTAATTTTTGAAAATGCAGCCTCAAAAACCGATTACATTTGTCACACTGTGATGGAAACATTTACTCCTGGAAATGGTGTTAAGGCCATCAAGGCAAGCTGCCTCAGAAGCTGAGCCATTATCATCACCTTGTCTGTATGTACATCCTCTCCTGCCAGCTACCAGCTTTTATCAGGTTAGTGAGTACATGAGAAGTCAATGACAACATTAGGTTTGCAAAGGTTCATTTGGAAGTTAGCATTTTGTTTGAGCCCTTCTCTACTCTATTAAAGCCAACATATACGGCTAATATTTCAATGAATGTGATCTTAGCTCCAACCTTTCCTCTGCGCCTGGCCTCCTCAAGTCTTTTCAATCTATAGTCCCACTTGTTTCTACCTGTGCTCAGGCAATTTCTTCTGCTGACCCATCCTCCCACCCCTTCATGCAACATATTTCTAAATTTTGGATATATGCCTGTCATTCAACATGCAACTCAATTGCTGCACCTCCTGAGAAGTATTTGCTGATTCTCACAGCCAGAATTCATTTATTCATTCACACTCTAGTGTCTTTGGCCGCTTTAATCTGTACCCTTAAGCTATTTTATAAAGTATGTAGCAGTGTAACCTACAGGAGAGTGCCTTTTGTTTTAATGGCACCTAGGATTTGTTTTAATAATATATAGTAAGACACTCAGACACAGAAAAGATTGCCATGAAGGAAGAACTGTTTATTATACTCACAGTTCCCTGGAAATAGGAGGCACAACCCTCCATGCAGGGCCACATGGGGAAGCAGCAAGGAGAGAGGAGAAGGCAGAAGGTCGCGGGGAGAGGCCTTAGTGGGTTGAATCCTTTATTGTGGTTTTCTTGGGAAGAAAGAAGTGAAGCAAGGTAAGCAGGCTTCGGATTGGTTAGTTTGAATGATTTTTGTGGGCCCTGGGCTATAAGGGCTGTCCTGGTTGTTACCTTGCCCTGTGGTGACTAGGTCAGGGGAGAGAGGTGTGAGAGCTGATACAGGAGGTAGCTAGAGGTAAGGGCTCTAGATTGGTTGGTTTATGTATCAAAGAGTGATCACGGGCAAGTCCTTTACTGTCTTTAGGAATAAGCTAGCCCTTTTAGGGGCAGTTCTTCCTGAGGTCAGCAAGGACCCAGATGCCAGGTGGTTAAAAATATGAAAAAATAAGAAAACAGTCAATATACCTTACTTTCTTAGAAATCTCTCACACATAATGACCCCCATGGCCCCTATTCTATTGGTATCATCTCCTGATGTAATCTCTCAGTGGCTGTTGCCCCACGGATTCTCTCCAAATCACAAAATTTGCATTCCTAGAAGAGGAACTGTGTTTGGCTTCACAATCTGTTAGAGCAAACCTTAAGATGTCTCAGCAGGGGCCAGGTGGACTGAGCAGTTTCCCCCAGGAGAGGTTTGTGGGTCTAGCAGAGACCATGATTATTATATGTGATTGGTACTGAGTTTAAGAAGGGAAAAGACAGGCTGGGTGCAGTGGCTCATGCATGTTATGCCAACATTTTGAGAGGCCGAGGTGGACGGATCACCTGAGGTAAACACTAGCGTGGCCAACATGGCAAAACACTGTCTCTACTAAAAATACAAAAATTATCTGGGCATGGTGGCACATGCCTGTAATCCCAGCTACTCCATAGGCTGAGGCAGGAGAATTGCTTGAACCTGGGAGGTGGAGTTTGCAGTGAGCCAAGATCATGCCACTGCGTTCCAGCCTGGGTGACAGAGTGAGACTCCATCAAAAAAAAAAAAGGGGAAAAGACATGAACCTTCACCCTCAAAGAGCTTCCAATATAAAAAAGAAAAAAAAAGTTCATATGAATAACATAGTTCATTTGAAAAAGCTTTGTACAAACAGCAAAGTAATATATGGATAATACATGTATATATATACACATATAATATATGTATATAGTAATATATGGATTTTTAAAATTGTAGTGATAATAATAATAGTAATATTTAACATGTACATACTTCTTATTAAATGCCAGAATTGTTTTCCAAGTGCTTTACATGTATATTCTCATTTAATCCTCAGAACAACCCTATTACGAGGGTTTTATAATTACAATAATTTTATAGATGATAAAAGTCACAGAAAGGTTAAGTAACTTGCTCAAGGATACATGGATCATGACAGAGCTGAGATTGAAACCCAGGATTTTGATGATTGTGCTGATAGGCAGTATATATACTTCTACTGTAGGTGGACAACCATATTCTCACAATGTGACATATCAGACTTCATATAAAAATAGCTAAAGGCCTGTACATTAAGCCTTTCAGTAGTACGTGCACATCATTTTATTTGCTATGTATTATGGACTGTATGTGTCTCCCCCAAAGAAATTCATATACTGAAACCTTAATCCCCGATGTATTGATATCTGGAGATGAGGCTTTCTGGAGGTAATTAAGTCATGAAGGTGAAGCTGTTATGATGAGATTAGTGCCTTATAAGAAGAGATGGAGAGAGCTTTCTGCCTTCCCCCACTCTATGTGGGGATATAACCAGGAAGAGGGCCCTTGCCAGAGACCAGATATGTTGGCATCTTGATCTTGGACTTCTCAGTCTCTAGGCCTGTGAGAAATAGATGCTTATGTGACCAGTCTATGGTATTTGTTATAGTAGTCTAAACTGACTAAGACACTATGTAATTCATCTGAATATTATTGAAGTTATTACTCTTGAAAAATGGCTTTAGTCCAAGGAAAGATTACACATGTGTAGGTTGAGTGTCCCTAATCCAAAAATCCTAAATCTGTAATGCTCCAAAATTGAACATTTTTGAGCACTAACATGATGCTCAACGTGCATATTCATTGGAGCATTTCAGATTCTGGATGCTCAGTTGGTGAACTATAATGCATTAAAATGCTCTTGAATTTAATGAAATCGAAGGTTGGTGTTTGGATGGTCTTCAGGTTTTTGGATTAAAGATGCTCAACCAATTTGGTATAATGCAAATATTCCAAAATTCCAAAAATCTGAAATGTGAAACATTTGTGTTTCTAAGCATTTTGGGTAAGAGATGTTCAACCTGTGTAATAATGCAAAGATAATGTGGTTCATACGCTTGGATGACATTTTTAGACATATTCATAGCCTTTAGGGAATGGACATTTGAAAAAATATAGTTTTCCTAGTGACCTGGGCTTACTCTTCCCCAGGAAGGTTGATATTGCCATGTAACCAGGATTCAGTTTCTTCTTATAAGGAAGCAACATATCCTTCATTACATTAACATGCAATAGAAAGTTCCACTTAGTGATATTTCACTGAACCAGTCACAATCTCAGCACTGCCTTGTTCAAACAAAAGAACTCTCTCCAGCATAAAACCCAAACAACCAGATGGCGAACTAGTACATCCTATACGTGTTGCTACTCAAGTATGTTTTCCAACATCTTGGCTGCCAGGGAATGACACTGATAGCGTAAATATGTCAGTGATAATTTGTCAGTATGGCCTACTAATGACAGAAACTGTGACTTCAAAATGATTTAAAAGGTTGTCTAAGCAATAGCTAGCTGTCAACCCAGAAATTTTGAATGGTATCTTTGCAGTAGAATGAGCATGAAGATAGCAAGTGAATTATGAATTCTTCTAGATTTTAGTAGGTACCCTTTTAAGTACATGGAAGCCAGAGAAGTGCCATCAATGACTTGCAAAAAGAACCCTGTGAGTTATGGCTATCTATTTAAGAAAAAGAAGGTAAGACTTTCATCAACACTTTACAACATTCTACAAGTACACAATTTTATTGCTGTCTTTTCTTTATTCTTATTTGTATGCACATCCCAAATCTAACATGGTACATTATTCTTTAAAAACATAATTATTTTCCTGGTTTGAATTAAGATGTAATATGACCTTTTAGAAGAAAACAGAGCCATTGCATGTTTTGTTTGTATACTTCTTATACAAAATAAATGTAGTCATGTGCCTTGAAAAAAGTGAGGGACATATATATATATATATATACGTATATATATATATACGTGTATATATATATACGTATATATATACAGTCACCTCAAGAAATAGACTGTGATGAAAGATTCACAAATAGAAAGCAACACAGGAAAGACATTGCTGATTATGCAGTTTTAGAAGCAGGGTCAAGAAAGAGTGAGTAAAAGAAAAAGATATACATTTATAGTAGAAAGCAAACAAAAATCTCCATTGTGAAAATCACTTCCAAATCATTTCCCCATAATATAGGGAAACTGATGATAGTCTACTTGCTGTGGCCTTCAATTCTTAGGCAATATTTTTATATATTCCGGAGAAAATCATTGAGATTTGCTTTGCATGCAATTCTACTTCAGCTCCTTTCTAACTGGCCAAATCTATCCCTTTTATTTATGAATTTGATTATAATGTTAACAACAACCACAACTAAACCCAAATAATGTACTGGCCCGGGAATAAGGCATACAAACTGCAAATAAATGTATTTAGGCAGATATTAGTATCTTGAATCAGAAGTACATGTTAAAATATTATTGGACTTCCTCTTTGAAAAGAAAGTTGGTTTTGTTACTTTATTTACTTATCAGGTTTTATTGCAGGCCATATTATATTTCGACAGTTCTGTAATGAAAGTGTATTCTGGACTGCAGAGTGGTGCTAAATTCTCAGATAATGGAATAAAACTGCTTTGAAAAAACATATTTAACTCAAGTATAGTTTGTCCAGTTCAGTTTAGAAGTGACTTTGCCTGAAAAGGAAATCGTGTAATTCTAGGAAAGAGCAAAGATTTTTCTAAAATGGAGAAAAGGTATTGAAAACATTGCTTTTACTTTTAGAAAGAAAGTGTGGCAGGTCATGAGAGAAATCAAAGTCAGGACAGCAGTCATTCTCCTGCAGAAAATGCAGGCACGTGAGCAGAGAGTGCTATAGAAAGTGCCTTCTTCTTTTCCTCAGGTCACCCGCTGGGCTTGGGAAAGGGTTCCTTCACTACCAAAGTACTTCAGTTATTTCTCTCATGTCCGAGACCTGTCTGTAGTAGCATCTAATACAAATCTGGAATACTTCCATTGAGGGAATTCTTGTCTAACTCTTAGTGGACCTTAACATTCCAGCAGGCTGGGAACAGGAAGTAGAGTCTTGAGTACTTCTATGACCACCTCCCTTGTCTACTATATATTCCTGTTCTCCTCCTCATTGTGTCCTTACGAAATTTGCATTTGGACTGTTAGTCTTGGTCTTTGGATCTTTTAAATCATTTAAGAATAAGGTCATTACTCTGGGTCTTTTAATCTGCTCTTAACTCCTCAAACCTGATCTACAAAGTGTGATTAGAAGGTGCTGTTCTTAGTCCTGTTATGAAATAAAAGGTCATATTTAGCACATAAAATTCTTATCTATTACTTTAAATACATTTTCTCTTTCAGTATTAAACTCTTGCTCTGAAATTTAACAACGGTGAAACTTTCATGAACGTGAGAAAGCCATATATGTTATCACTTACTAATAAGCAGTAATGATAATAATAGAAGTAGAAATTAGTTTAAAAATAAATGTATTTGGCAATGAACATAAAGTGTTACACAGTGACTGAGATTGCTAACAGTGATTCTTAATTATTCTTGATGTTATAGTCGTGGGAATTCTTTTGAAAGACCACAGAGAAGGGGGAGATAAAAGGATCATGAGATGAACCCCTGAAGTTTACTTTGGAGAATTTCTATTTCTAAAACCATATCCAAATTATTAGTACTCTAAAAAATACCATCAGTCAAAGTAAATTGGCTACGGTAAAACAGAAAAAAGCCATCGATAATTAAATTTTGGGTAATGTGTGAAAATTATGAATAATTTATGTTCCAGACATATCTGACTGACTTTGGTTCATTGTCTTGACTATTGGGGTACTGGTATAGGAAGGAATGATGTGTTTTCAGCGTGGAAAATATTTATGGTATAGTTGTGTTATAATTATATTGTCAAAAAACTTGTTTTTAAATACATAGTCCACCTGACTGAGGCATTATTAATCTCTACTGTAGATAGATAATCTTGAGAGACATTTGACAGTTGAATCCGACATGGAGGAAGGCATTTGAGGTTAGGTTAAATGTATAAATACAGTATATTCCACAGAAATTAGTGATGGGAAAAGCAAAAACACTGGCATTCAATTATAGAGAAACCATTGTTTTCGTTTCTTGCTTGGATTGTGTGCACAGTATAGAACTTAATAGCAAGCAGAGATTTCCCATGGAGAGTTCATGACAGGCAACAGGTTAGTGGGAGAGACATAGCTTGCACTCCTGCAGCAGTTTGATCAGAAGATTCCTTGCACTCTCAGATGCTCAAGAGGATAATAAACTGACTGGCATAGCAACACAGAAATCTGGAAGATTATATACAAATATAAAATTGCTACGCTACACTGTTTCAGCTAAGCCTCCCAGAGATACTCATATCAGGTGGCACGGATAAAGGACATCATGGTGTTCTGCAAAATGATACACAAGTGTGTCATGTCACACACTGGGAAAACTTAGCCACCTTAAATTGTGAAATAGAAAGTAGGCTATCCTTTCCTTTACAAAAATATGGCTGCCTGATGTTGGTAAGTCCATCCTGTAAGATCTTTCTCCTTTCTCAAGCCCAGAGTTGGAGGATTGGCATACCCTTTGCCTGTAGATTCCTCCTCAGACCAAGAGGGTAAGTAGAAATCCAATCATGATACAGAAGGGTTCTGTAATTTTCAGAGTACACAGGCTCCTCTGAACCTAAGTGGACTCTGCAGTTGTTGGAACAAATACACATATCCTTAGTCTCTTTGGGATTCTCTTTCTGAAGGGTTGGGTATGAATCACTGTGCTGCCTGGGTCCCCTGAAGTCAGTTCTAGCAACTGGTCTCTCCTAACCTGCAGAGCATGAGCTGTGCAAATATGATACAGGCAGAGATGACCCCTACAAAAAAAATGAAGGAGATGTTGGCAGCCCCTAAGAAGAGTAGAAGCTATTACTCCTGGAGATGTTGGGAAGCTGGAAGTAGGTCAGCAATGCAGATGACTGAGGAGATGAATAGAACCAGGAGCAGGAAGTAGGGATGGGTTTACACTTGACTGGGAAAGACTCAGCTAGAGGCCTGTCACTGGACTCCCAATTGCTTTAGAGAAGAAAGTGTGTAACAGCTATAGCAAGGAAATAGAGCTAGGTTGAAGTGTATCAAAGTAAAAAGGACAGGAATAGAATTTTTTGATACAGTGGATTGCTTAAGGAGTGTCAGGTAGTCTGACAAGGAGATGTGACTGGAAGTAAGATCACAAAGAACATTTAGGACTAACAAGACAGCTGATGTGTTTGACCAGTTTATAAAAAAATACTAGAATAAAAAGAAAGATCTCACATTGAAGGGAATACTTTTTTGTCCCTGCAACATTTATTTTAAGTTCTGGAGTACATGTGCAGTATGTGCAAGTTCGCTACATAGGTAAAGGTGTGCCATAACGGTTTGCTGCACAGATAAAGACATTACCTAGGTATTAAGCCCAGTATCCATTAGCTATTCTTCCTGGTGCTCTCCCTCCTCCCCCTACACCGACAGCCCCCAGTGTGAGTTGTTCCTCCCACATGTGTCCATATGTTCTCATTTTCCAGCTCCCACTTATACATGAGAACATGTGGTGTTTGGTTTTCTGTTGCTTTGTTAGTTTTTTGAGGAAAATGATTTCCAGTTGCATCTTTGTCCCTGCAGAATACATGATCTCATTCCTTTTTATGGCTGCATAGTATTCCATGGTGTATGTGTACCACATTTTCTTTATCCAGTCTATCGTTGATGGGCATTTGGGTTTATTCTATGTCTTTGCTATTGTGAATAGTGCTGCAATGAACATATAATTGCATGTATCTTTATAATAGAATGATTTATATATTTTTGGGTATATATAGAAAGTAATGGAATTGCTGTGTCAAATGGTATTTCTGCTTCTAGATCTTTGAGGAGTTGCCACCCTGTCTTACACAATGGTTGAACTAATTTACTCTCCCACCAACAGTGTAAAATGTTTCTTTTTCTCTGAAACCTTACTAGCGTCTGTTGATTCTTGACTTTTTAATAATTGCCATTCTTAGTGGTGTGAGATGGTCTGTCATTGAGATTTTAATTTGCATTTCTTTAATGATCAGTGATGTTGAGCTTTCTTTAATTTTTTTGGCTGCTCGAATGTCTTATTTTGAGAAGTGTCTGTTCATGTCCTTTGCCCACTGTTTTTTTTTTTTTTTTCCAAGACGTAGTCTTGCTCTGTCACCCAGGCTGGAGTGCAGTGGCACAATCTCGGTTCACTGCAACCTCTGCCTCCCGGGTTCAAGCAATTCTCGGACCTCAGCCTCCCAAATAGTTGGGATTACAGGCACCCATCACCGCACCTGGCTAATTTTAGTATTTTTAGTGGAGAGAGGGTTTCACCTTGTTGGCCAGGCTGGTCTTGAACTTCTGACCTCAGCTTGTGATCTGGCCGCCTCAGTCTCCCAAAGTGCTGGGATTACAGGCGTGAGCCATTGTGCCCAGCCCTTTGCCTACTTTTTAATGGGGTTGTTTTGTTTTTTCTTTCTTTTCTTTTCTTTTTTTTTTTTTTGTAAATTTATTTAAGTTCCTTGTAGACTCTGGATATTAGACTGGGTAGATCGCAACCTTGTACTCTTGTTACAGCCATTTGGTTTTGATGTGTTATACTGTCAGATTTAATTTTGCCTTTCTTTCTCTCTTTTTTTTTTTTTTTTGAGATGAGACCTTGCTTCATCACCCAGGCTGGAGTGCAGTAGCTTAATCATAGCCCACTGCAGCCTCACATTCCTGGGCTCAGGTGATCCTCCTGTCTCAGCCTCCTGAGTGGCTGCGATGTTTTCTTTTCTTCTATTATTGTAGAGACAGATTCTTGCTATGTTGCCCAGACTGGTCTCAAACCCCTGAGCTCAAGTGATTTTCCCACCTTAGCCTCCTGAATTACTGGGATTACAGGCATGAACCATTGCTGTGCCTTATTTTTTGATTTTAAGATTTTTTTTGCTTATATGTTTATAAATGAAAATGGTAAGTAATTTAACTTCATTTTTTTCCTTGTTGAATTTTGGTTTCAAGATTATGTTATTTGAAAATGAGTTGGGTTTATTACCTCTTTTTGTTTGTTTTTTTTTTCTGATAAGATCATGTAACAGGAAATTTTTATATCCATTAGTTTTTGGAAGAGATTTCCAATGAAGCCATATGAGACTAAAAGTTTCTTTGTAAAAAAGACTTATTTAAACTACATTCAATTTATTTAATGATGACAGAAAAATTTCAGGATCTCATTCAATCTGTTTCCCTACCTTCTCTCTCTTTTGAGTTTTTGTAAGATATCTTTTTATGGAAAATAGCCCACTTCATTCAAAATTCTGAATTTATTATAAAGTTTTGAAAATATCCAATATCATCTTAGTTTCTATAGTATCGAAGGTGATAATCCCATTTTCATTACTGATATTGGTTATTTGTGTCTTTTTTTATCACTTCCCCCAATTTTTTATATTATAATTATTTTTAATTAACCACTTGTCTCTATTTTCTATTTGTTTTCTATTTGCTTATTCTCTTCTGTTATAATTAGCATTTCCTTTCTTCTATGATCTTTTAAAGTATTTTACTGCTTTTTAATTTACCTTTTTGAGATAAATACTTAATCTTTAAACCTTTATTTCTAATATATTAATTAAAGGCTATGAAATTTTTATCTAAAATTTTTTTTGAAAAAGTCCTACTTTAGTTTCATCCCAAAATTTAGTTCAAATTATTTTCTTTTTCCTGTTATAATTTGTTTTTGATTAGCGGGTTACCTATGAATAGTAATTTCCAAATATGTAGATATTTTCTAACTATCCTTTTCAAAAATTGATTTCTGGCTCAATTATATAATGGCCAGAAGAGTCTTTTGAAATTTGTTGGATTTTGCTTTATAACTGAATATTCCCAATATAAAAAACTGTCTCATGTCCTCTTATAACACATTTATTTTGCAACTGTAAACTATAGGGTTCCATATATATCTGGTAGGTCAATTTACTTGTTTTTGTTCCTCTTATATCTCTGCTTGTTTTTTCTTTCTTTTCTATAAGTTACTGAGAATTGTGTTAAAATCCTCACTGAATTTATTTTTCTTCATATGTAAATCTGTCAATTTAACTTTATATATTTTGAGGCTCTGCCATTAGGAATAAGAACATATATAATTGTTACATCTTCCTGGTGAAACTGAACCTTTTGTAATTATTAATACAGGTACACTTATTTTCCCTTCAGTTTAATAATCCTTGATATTCAACTAAAACATTTAGATCATTTGTATTTACTATAACTACTGATATATTTGGAATTAAGTCTGGCATCTTATTTTATGTCTCACTGGCACTCAATCTATATTTTTTTCTTTGCTGCTTATAGATTACTTATCATTTCATTTTTTTCTTGAACTAGTTTAGGTGTTATATACTTAGTTTATATAATTTTAGCAGTTACACTAAATTTACAATGTGTATCCCAAATCTTAATTCATCAAAGTCTATTGTTAATCTGTATCTTTATTCTCCTCTTGGGTAACACAAGGAACATTTTACCTTGAGTAGCCCCTTGGGGGGGTCTCAGCTTAATCCAGGGTGTATTTTCCTGTGATGCTTACCACCTAGAACAGACTCTAGATAATTATTTCTGCCCTTAAAAGTTTATGATGCTGCCTAACTTTAGCCAAAATTTGTAGATTTATGCAAGTCCCCTAAGGGCAAAAGCAGATATGATCCTCTTAGAATTTGGTCCTCCTGGAATTTGGCCTGTCAATTCTCCGCTATCTGGGCACCTCTTCAAAGCTTTTAAGGTATATTAAAAAAATGCCTGACTTAACAATTTTAATTGACTTTAGGAGGAAAGTTGGTACAATAAAGGTATCCCATTAAAATGGGACAGAAAAGTTATTTTTTTCTTTTCATGTATTAAAGATGGTAACTTTTTTCTTCTGTATTTGTGGCAACTTTTGGAATTTTTATTGAACTTGTTCTTTGGGGCTTCTGCCTTTCCACATTTGCTTAGAAAGATTATTTCATCTCATGATCAGGCAAATATTTACTATTTTTTTTTCTAATTTGTTCCAGTTTTTGATTTAGACTAAATCTTTAAGCCAACTGTAGTTTTGGTGTAAGGTATTTCATATGGAAGAAAATGGATTCTTTTCCCCAGTAGCCTAAAATATTGTCACAATAATCTTTGAAATTATCTTCCAATACACTATTCACTTGCAATGCCTTCTTAAATTTCACATATTAATTTCTTCATTGATATAATAGTCTATACTTTTATTAGAAGCATACTAACTTAATTGTTATACACCTATAGCATATTTTAATCTCTTTAAGGACAACCTCTATTGAATACTCTTTTAAATATCCACAGGAGTACTTTAAAATGGGCAACTTTTAAATATTAATTTAGTAAGAAATAAGAGGAACATATTTATTCATAATTATGGTACAAAATAATGCAATTGGTTTCTTTATGCTTATGAAAAGTGAAATCAGTAATAACACTTTTCAATGTCTATAATTTACAGCATATTATTAGTTTAATGCTATAAATATTGTTGGCCTAGAGCAGACTAGAGGCACACACTGAAGCACACAAATTTATATGATATATACACTTCATTCATTTGTTCTTGTCTTGAAATGATAAAATAAGATCCGAATTTTTCTCATTGTTTGGATTTATAAAAATAGAACAAAATATAGGTTATGCAAACTTAATTTTAAACAAATTATGCATTACAAATACCAGTAAAGAAGGCTTCTATCATCTAGTTTTAAGTTCAGCAATAAAATGCATTTCCTGAATTTTTGATTATTTTTAGAAGGTGTGATGTACCACTCAGAGAACATATTTATTAAGAGAGTATTGTCCATTAAGACAAATAAGAAGAAAGTCAAATACAGATAATTTAAAAAATTAATTGACTGGTTTTGACAAGAGGTTAATTAAGAAATCTTGTGCATTGGTAGCACATATACTAACATTGGAAAAAATCTATTAATGTTTATGTGATTAAAGAAGATACATTATTTTTATCCAGGCTGACAATTCTGACATAATATTTTTAAGATATATGAAAACATAGCATAGAACGTGGTCTTCACAATAATTTTTAATTTAATTCAAGAACAAATGTGTTCCAGGTTGCTTTAGATGTTCTCTGATAAAAAAGGATCCAGTAAAAATTATGATGGATGTGTAGTCAAGCTTACATCATCATTTAAAAACATTCCCATTAAGTTATTTGTCTGCCATTAGTCTTAGATTTTCAATCAATTTAAGAGCTCTAAGGAAAGTCAGAAATTCTCTTCTTGATATTAAATTTATTCAGAATTTTTTTAAGATAGTCATTTATACAAAGGCTTTCTGCATTGGCCCTGAAGTGACTGCACTGTGGTTACCGTGGAGAAATAAGACAGTGATAAAGGAAAAAATTTTCTTCAAGTATCGGCATATTCATTATCTGTCACAATCAGAACTTCTAAGAAAATGTGTTCCAACAGATAACATTTAGGCAAAGATTATATATAAGAAAATGAGATAGCCAAAAAGCTGTCCTGTAGATCAGAAGGCATATTTATTGTTTCTTATAATTGTAAAGGTTAATACTATTTGTGCCACTTTAAAAAAGTCACAGATTCATGTCACTGGTTATCTTATAAAGCTTGGAAACCAAATATTTTTTAAAGTCCCAGTTAAATATCATTCTATAGAAATTTGGAAACATACGATATTGAGAAAGCAATACTTTAATTTTTATATTGGGGATGAGAACTCATTTTGAAGAAGTATATGCTGCACCACAAATGTTTGTATTTGAAGTAATTAATATCAAGGCACATACAGATAGGAAAGAAGAAAGTGTTCCATCAACTGAAAAAACTAGGAAAATATGTAACCATAATTTTAATCATACAGAATCTTCCTGACTGAGATCAGTTAGCTCTTTTGAACAATATTATCTTTGCTTTTCTCAACTACATTTGTCAGAAAAACCTGATGTTCTTAATTAATTTTTAAGAGGTCTCAATTACATAATGCAGCTTAGAAAGTAGCAATATATAAACTGACATCTTGAAGTTCCCAGGGCTTCAGAGAAGTAGTTTATGCTGTAGAGGAGATCATTTTTATCATATACCACACTTGGTGCTTATTCCTTTTATACTTTCCCTTTGACTGGGCATTATAGACATCCAGCTATCTCTCTGTGCAGGGTGTCAGACTCTCAGATAGCCGCAATGAGTGTGAATCATGTCCTGTAGATAATAAAAAGGCAATTTTAAAGTAGTGAAACCAAGGTGATGTTAAAGGAAATGCTATAAGGAATTGTAAAAAAAATGAACAAAGAATTGAGGCTTGGAGCATAGAGCTTGTATCTTTGAACTTATTGAGCACGGTTTGTGGGAATTTACTGAAAAATCAGAGATGCTGTGGAAAGGCATGGTCTTAGTTTACTGGATACAGAACTACAGAAAAAACATTTATATTACAATATTTTAAATGGATAAAACTATACATGATAGTTTATCAAAAATGCATATTTGAAAATCCAATACCTTGCTCTCAACAGAGATGTATTTGGGACATAAAAACCATTAGTTAGAAACTTACCCAATTCCCTACTGATTTTAAAATATCAGAGTAAATAGTAAAATATGTACATATATGCATTTGTAACACCTGAAATTCCATGCATTGCCTTGACATTTTGAGCCTCACAAGGTTCTAGGAACTAGCTATGAGTTCCCTGGTCTTGGCAGGTATGCCTTGCTAGCCAGCAAAATTATTCAAACAAGCCAGGGACATTCTCCCATGGGAACCAAGGGTTATCTTACCCTCTTGTCACTGCAAAGCCTGCTTCCCACAGCCCCTGCTTGTTCACTCTACTTGAGTGTAACCCCCAGATGGGGCTGCATGGCACACACAGTGTTCTTCTCCCCGAGGCTGTGAGTACACGGGACTAATAAACTGCTGTTGATCTCATCTGTCCAATGCTGAGTGTTGTGTGCTTGGATACCTGGAGGCTTATGGGGCATGGTATCCATCCTTCATCAATGGGGGTAATCAGATTAGCTTGTAGATAGACGCTTATAACAAGTGTTCATAAAAATTAGTTTTTAAAAAGTAGTCTTTCTTCTTAGAAGCTTATCCTTTCCCAAATGCATGCTGGCAGCCCTTTCAGCTTTAGCCAAGACCAAATAGTCTCTAGGAAGTTTTTGTCTTGTTGCCACTTTTTGCAATGATTTGTGTTAAATTCTCCCAATGCATTGCACCATACTATTCTTTTTCTGCCTATAATACATAGCTCATTAAGTTCTAATTCAATACTTCAGCAAAAATGGAACAATAGAGACAAAACAGGTGAAGAAATCATAATCATAATACTTTTTGTAATTTTTCCTTGAATCCAGTCCAAATTAGATTGGTTAGAAATCAGTTTCTAAGAAGAAAGACTACTTTTTAAAAAGTAATTTTTATGAACGCTTGTTAGTATTCAGTGGAGCAGAACTTTGTGACACTATATGAAGAAAATAAATCATTCTCTATTTACCAAAGCTTATAGTTACCAGTGACAATGAGAATAGGAATTAAGTCCATAGATTACAGGTTGTAAATTCAAATAATGACAGGAACCAGGCAGGTAATTAAATGGGTGAAGTAGAATAGATGGTGATCTAATTTTAAATGTTGGCAACTAATTAAAATGTTTAAAAAATACTGTATAAGCCAAACAAAACACATCTGGGGACCACATGTCCAAGGGTGACCCTAAAGCAATTTTAAAAGTCCTGGTCATTCTTCAAGGCCTGCATTGTATGCCTGCCTTTTCAAGAATCCTATTATAGCAAAGGCAGTCTAAGTTAATCCTGACCTTCTTGGAGTTTTTTATTGAGTTAGTAGTCAGAAATACAACCATAGTGCCTTTGCTCTCTCATTGTTTTCTCAGTGGGTCTTTTATTCCCCATGACACTGAAGGGTTTTGGAAAGAGACCATGTATTATGTTCCTCTCATTCTCCTCATGCTGGCAGCACTTTATGAGTCATCAGTAAATAATGATTATAATAGTAGCTAATATTAAATAAGGCTCTTTTCATGAGTCAAACACATTTGCAATAGCTTTTCCATATCTCACAGCAATCCTGTAAGAGCAGTGTTACTATTACCCCATTTGACTGAAAAACACCTGAGGCGCAGAGAAGTTAAGTGACTGGCCAAGGTCATAGAGCTGCTGATGGGTGGAGCTAGTAACCTGTGCCAGGCTAATGCTGTAGCCATGTTCTCTTAGCCACTAGGCTATGAATATTAATTAATCCAACATAATTGCCTCTAGCTAAGAGTTTTAAACCTTTTTGTACCAAAATGTTTGCCATAGTTGTTAATAAGTCTTCAGATGGCAGGCTAAAACATTATTCTGTTTTATTTTCATTCTTATTCTCTGTCTTTTATCTATTTTTGAATCCTAATAAGAAATGGAATATTAGAATTAACACAGTCATGCTCATATGATGTCAAAAAAGCTAGGTAATTTGTTCAAACTCTGTTCAAAATTAAGCATAGCATCAGTTAAATTGATCAGTCTCAATTTTGTGTGAGCAACTGGCAGTTTAACAACCAAATAGGAAATATTGAAAAGTTTTGTGAAAAGAACTTATGAGGAAAAAAGTAATGTCCTTGGTGGTGAGGAAATTTCTCTTCTGCAGTTGGCTGCTGTGAATAAATTACTGGTAGGAAGAACAGAGCAACAGTCTCAGGGTTTTTTGTACTGTGGGTATTTCAGTGTTTGACTCTTGCTTTGTTACTGTCTTTTCTCTGCATAGAAAAGAAACTATGCATTGAGCAATCCCAGTGTGCATTCAGTGTTATACAAATACTTGATAATCACTTATGAGAGCAAGTTATTCTAAGAGATGGTTTTACTAACTTTTTTACTAATTTTTCTTTGATCACATAATAGAGTTCATAGTATAATACTTAAACAATGGCTGTGTTTTTCCTCTCTGAATTTATGATGAAAATTTGCCCTTCATACCCATTCATGTATTTTCTGGTATGTTCAGACATGACTAGAAAATTGGTTGTCTCTCTGGCCGCTGAGAAAAGTCTTAACAGTTTGATTTTCAGTGCTAGGAGGTATATACTGTAGGGAGCTATAGAAAAGCAGAAAGGTAGAATCTTTGGTCTTATCTATCCCAATTCCTTTCCTGGCCAGAATAACTTTAAATCTGCCTGTGCAGCTGCAGACACATGAGGCACGTGGCCTTTGGACACAGCCCTTTGCATGCCTGCAGACATATTGAAGCTTCTTTGATGTCTGTCTTCAAGGCTTCCCACTGGTGCTGAGGCTGAAATCCCACTTCCCACTCCACTTCATGTATCTGCAGTGAACATTTCACCACCAACAACATAGATTTCAGCCCTTCTGCTAGCAATCAAACCTTTTCTATATTAAGTCCCAGTCCCTCAGGACTGTGCATTCTTTTAAATGGTAATAGGTGCTAATGGAATAATTTGATAGACTAATCTCTGATAATGTTACTCTTCTCAGGTAAAAGTCCATTTTAGCCTAGTTGAAATGCACATCACCTTTAGGTGGTCTTTAAGGAGTGACAGGAAGATTAGAAATACGTGACAGACCAATCAAGAGGAGATATTTTGGTGAGGGGGGGCCTTTTATAACTCTACAACTTATGCCGGCTAAGTGTACAGCAGCCCCCCAAAACTCTTGATTGAATGTGCCCTGATTCATATAGCAGTGAATTGGTCATTAATCTCTCTCTCTCTCTCTCTCACACACACACACACACACACACACACAACTTTTCTCATCCTTTCTCTCTGTCTGTCTCACATACACACACACACACACACACACACACACACACACACACACCCTTTCTCATCCTCTCTCTCTGTTTCTCTCTCTCTCTCTCACACACACACACACACACACCCTTTCTCATCCCCTCAGGGTATATAAACATTAACACACTTGCAGACTAACTGTCTGAAAACATAGCAATGAAAAGATGTGAATTCAAATAGCA
Source organism: Homo sapiens (assembly GCF_000001405.40). NCBI lineage: Eukaryota > Metazoa > Chordata > Mammalia > Primates > Hominidae > Homo > Homo sapiens. Next base: position 118,352,908 of record NC_000005.10, on the reverse strand, counting down.
TAACAAAAAGTGAATAAAAAATGTTATCCAGTGTCATTTGGCATAAAAAAAAGCTTTTACTGGGCACAGTGGCTCATGCTTGTAATCCTAGAGACTGGGGAGGCTGAGGCAGGAAAATCGCACGAGTTCAGGAGTTCGAGACTAGCCTGGGTAATGTAGCAAGACCTCATCTCTTAAAACTAAAAAAAAAAAAGTCTTTTAAAAATTCATCACTGAAAACTAGTATTAGTTAATATATGGTTTTATCAAGGAATATCTACAGAATTCAAACTCTGCATACAGAGAAGGGAAACTAACATGTATTGTGCTCCAACTATGTGCCATGTCTCCTGCCTCTTATAACATTTTACGTAATCTCATGCATTAATTCTGTGAGGCAGGTATTGTTATATGCATTTTTGATAAGATGAAACTGAGACTCACGGAGACATGGCAACATGTAAGATCATACAAAGAAAGATTATGTTCAAGATTTGAACACAGATGAATCTTCCAATAATATACTGACAGATAATCAAGAGTGTTTTCAGAATGTGAAGAAAACGCATTAAAGAGCTGTGTCATATTTATAACACATGTAACTATCCAGATGTTGAAAACATAAACAACCCTTACAGATAGATAAACATTAAAGTCCAAAATAGAACAGGCAAAGGGAGAAAACTGATGAATCATAAAATAAAATAGGCAATATCTGAACACACATTCTACCTTAGTAGCAGGTAAAGAAATTCATGTTAAATAGTGATAAATCACAATTTTGACCAATTAAATTGATAGAATTAAACTTATATATACAAAATTCTAGAAGGAATATGGTAAATTGTGCATAAATGGTAATGGATAATTTGATACCTTTGTCAACATATGTCAAAAGCACATGATCAAATTTTCTTGCTCAGATAAATCTTCCCTATGAAAAGAAGGAATCATATAAAAGTTTATGTATAAAGATGCATAATCAGATCAGGCCCCAAAACTTTCAACAACCAAAATATTTCACTGTTGAGGAATGGCTACATGTATTTTGCTATGCCCATCAATGAATGTTATGCCATTATTTAAATGGTCACAAAACAAGGTTGAGTAAAAAAGAAAAGTCCAGTAATATAAAGTCCAGCACATTAATGTATAAAATGCTAGATATTCCTACATCCTATAGGAATCCTATAAAATGATATTTGAACAATGTTCATGTGTCTGAAGATGCTTTTAACATTCAACTTTACATTTCTTTGAATTTTTGACAATTACCATGCATTATTTTTAAAGTGTTTGATAGTCAAATGTGATGGTAATGAAAGGAATAAGTCTACATGTGCCATGACAACATCAGCCTTCAGTTTTCTGCAAGACAAAGAGGCAAACAGATCTCCAGTCCTGCTTTTCTTCAATTACCAGGTGTGCTACAACAACATGACCCCAGCAAGCAAGATTATTTCTGTGCACTGATAGGAAAAGGAAGCAAGCCATGAGTGCCTGTTGAAGCTGGAAAAGCAAGATTGATGTTGAGGCTTGATTGAAGGAGTGCAAGGTCACTCACAGAAGAAGTCATGGTGCAAGAGTACATCTCAATCCTGCCCTAGCCTGGAAACAGCATGCTCTGCTGCATTTGCATGCCCAAGGCACTGCTTGTCCTAAGCCCCATCCTAGAAACTCTCTATAGCTTTATTTCCCTTAAGAAGGTAGAAAAACATCAACAACCTATCCGTACTAGCTGAATGGCCTCTAGGCCTATTGGGCAAGTACACCCAGATGAGCATCACTCTTAAGTGGCTGCTTCAGGTCAAGGTCTTTTGTGTTGGGGCAGCTGCAAACTGGCCTCTTTGGCTATCCCAAGACCCTCTAAGTCCAAGGAGCTTTCAACCTCTAGTGATGTTCAATCTCTGTAAAGCTGTGTAATGGGGGATAAACATTAAAGTTGTTTCACATTTAAAAAAAAATGTGTGAGAATTTTGCTTCTGACCCTAATGGAGTGACAGAGATGGGATTTGCCCATTTACCTTAACTAAAAATCCAGACAAAATATATCTAACAATGGGTTGTAGAGATAGGACACGAGGGACAACAGGGTATTGATTCCTGAGAGGGAGAAACAATGTGGGTACAAATGACTGTCTCATTTTGCCTCTTAGAGAAAGTTTTCATGTCATTGTGCAGAAAGAGGGAAGGCAAGTGAAATACAGTGGTTTCTATAAGTTGGAGAGGCAGACTGTCAGATTCCATGAGGCTTAGGTGGAAATTTTGGGGGTAGAGTACTAGACAGGGAGGAACATAAAACAGCACAAAACAAATTTTACAAAGAGAGTTTTCCTTGAGTCTTCGGCTGATGCTGATAAGTGTACACTTCTGAGGAAACTACTTGAGGCCAGGGAAAGAACTGCTAGAAAGGCAGACAGAACAATTTACAAGGCTTGCACAGAGCCATGACTAATTAACGTTCTTCTAAATAGCAAGGAGAGACTTTGCAATGCATAGGACAAAAGGTAGAGTACTCAGAATGGCCCTTGATAGTGGTTCAAGTTGTTTAGAATAAAACCCACTTTGATGTCATCTAACAAAGCTTAAAATAAAGCCTTGGAAGAATTAAACTTACCTGCATTCCAGAAAAAAAGTTAAAAAATATTTAAAGGAATACAGAAAATCCAATACTCAATAAGGTAAAATTCACAGTGTCTGGCATTTCATCCAAGAATACACAAGCAACAATGAGAAAAAATAATACAGAAATGACACAGATGATAAGAATAATAGACAAAGAAATTAAGAGTTACTAGAAATGGATTCTGTATATTCAAGAAGGTAAAAGAGAATGAGCATATTTAGAAGATATATAAAAGACATGAAACAGATGCTGTTTTAGAGATGAAAAACTACATATCTGAGATAAAAATATAATAAATGGAATTAATAGCAGATTAACTATTAGACATTGTAGAAGAATACTTACTAGATATGAGGACATTATAACAGATACTATCCAAACATAGAGTGAAAAAGACAAAGAAATCACATTAGTGAGCTGAGCTAACTTCAGATTTTCTAATATATGTGTAACAAGGAGTTCCCCAAAGAGAAAAGTACAAATAAATTATTTGAAAAATAGCTCAAGAGACCAAGACAAGCCAAAAACTTAGAGAAAATAGTTGCAAAAGACCTATCTGATAAAGAACTATTATAAAAAATACACAAAGAACTCTTAAAACTTAACAATAAGAAAAAAGTCCAATTAAAAATGGGCCAAAGATCTTAACTGACACCTCACAACAGAAGATATGCAAATGGAAAATAAGCTTATGAAAAGATGGTAACATATGTCATCAGGGAAATGCAAATTAAAACAAAAATGTGTTACCAACAATAAGATACCAATACACACCTATTAGAATAACCAAAATCAAGCACAATGACAGCACCAAATGCTGGTGAGGATGTGGAACAACAGGAGCTCTTGTTTATTGCTGATGGGAATGCAAAATGGTATAGACATCTTGAACAGCAGCTTGGCAGTTTCTTAAAAATTAAACATACTCTTACACTCACGTTCTGTTACATCAGTCACACTCGTTATTTACTCAAATCAACTGGAAGCTGATTTCCCTACAAAACTTGCACATGAATGTTTATAGCAGCTTTACTCATAATTGCCAAAAGTTGGAAGAAACCAAGATGTCTTCCAGTAGATGAATGGATAGATAAGCTGTAGTACATCCAGGCAACAGAATATTATTTAGCACTAAGAAAAGGACCTATCATGCCATGAAAAGATATGGAGGAAACTTAAATCTATATTAGTAAGTTAAAGAAGCCAATATGGAAAGACCGTATGATTCCAATATTCCAACCATACTGTATGATTCCAAGTATATGACATTCTGGAAAAAGCAAAATGAGCAAGCTAGTAAAAAAAGATTAGTGGTTGCCAGGAGTTAGCGGGCAGGAAGGGATGCATAGGTGTAGTAGAAAGATTTTTAGGTCAGTGGAAATACTCTGTATGATACTACTTTTGTGGATTCATGTCATTATACTTTTGTCAAAACCCATAGAATGTACTCCACCAAAAGTGAACCCTAATGTAAACTACAGACTTTGTGTGGTACTGATGAGATTTATCGATTGCAGCAAATGTTCCACTGTGGTGAGGGATATCCATGTCCATAGTCAGGGAGGTTGTATGTATAGCAGGGGCAACAAGAGATGTATGGAAATTCTCTTCATTTTCTGCTCAATTTTCTGTGGACCTAAAAGTTCTCCAAAAGGGCTTACTAATTTAAAAAATGATTTTTCCCCCAAATTTGATAAAAGTAATAGACTCAGGGATCTGAGAAATTCAACAAAACACAAAAACTAAACCATGAAAATTCTGATAAAATTGCTTATCACAAGTGATAAGGAGAAAATCTTGAAAGCACTCAGAAAAAGTAAAGATATATTATGTACAGGCACACAAGATAAGAATAAAAGCAGACTTTTTTTTTTTTAGCAGTAATGAAAGCCAGAAAAAAGTGAACCAACATCTTTAAAGCATTGAAAGAAAGAAAAACCTATCTATATAGAATTCTATATCCAGAGAAAACATCTTTCAAAAAGAAAGATAAAATGAAGCCTTCTTCAGAAACACAAAAGCTGAGAGAATTGATCAGTAGCAACTTGTACTTAAAAAAATGATAAAGAAAGTCTTAAGGCAGAAGGAAAATGCTGCTAGACACACATGTGAGTATACATAAAGGAAGGAAAAGCACTGGAAATGATAAAGTGGATAGATAAAAGACTTCTATGTTTTTCTCTGTTATTTAAGGTCTCTTTAAAAATAGAGTACAGTGTTTCAAATTAACAAGAATTAGTAATAAGAGTTAATATTGAGTTGTGGAATTTATAATATATGTAGAAGTAAAATGAGTGACTACAATAGGACAAATGCTGGAAGAGGAAAAATGGTTGTGTGCTACAGCTCTTTTACTTTTTATAAAGTAGATTAACTTTAAATGGGTTTTTGGTCAAGATTTGTGAAGCTGGACACCAAATGCATGAACTATAGGAAAAAAGTCATTAAATTCTACTTCATTGAAATTAAATTCTTTGTTTTCCAAAGACATTGTTACAGAAATGAAAAGGCAAGTTATTGACTGGGAAAAATATCTTCAAAACATATATCTGACAAAGGACTTGTATCTAGACTACATTAACTACATTAAGAACTCTTACAACTCAATATTAGTAAGACAAAAATCCAATTTCCAAATGGCTGAAAGATTTGAACAGACACTTCACCAAAGAAGATATATGGATATTAGATTAGTGCTTTCAAAGTTGCTCAATATCAATGGTACTTCATGGAAACATAAATTAAAATCACAAGTAGCTACTCTTACATACCCTCCAGCATCACTAATATTAAAAAGAATACTTATTTCAAGTGTTGGCAGGAGCACAGAAGTGGTACTCAATACATTTCTGGTAGAAATGTCACATGGTAAGCCATTTGAAAAAGTTTGCCAATTTCTTCAAAAGCAAAACATACACTTAAGCAAATGACCCAGACATTCTCCTCCTAAGCATTTATCCAAGAGAAATGAAAGCATTTATCTATATAAAGATGTACATAAGTATTTATAACAGCTGAAAACTGGAAACAATCTGAATATTCATCAGGTGGTGAAGGGATAAATGTTCCATACAATAGGAAACTAATCAAAGAAAAAAAAGAATGAAATTCTAAAACATACAACACCATAGATGAATTTCAAAATGATTATACTGCTTGAATGAAATCAGATGCTGCTTCCTTTTGAAAATATGTAAATATTTTATGATTCCACTTATATAAAAGTTTAGAGAATGAAAGCCAGTCTATAGGACATAAAGCGGATCAGTAGTTGCCTGGAGAAGCGAGGGGGGTCATAGAAGGCTGCAGAGATGGATAAGGAACAAAGAAACATTGGTGGTGATAGACATATTTATCATCTTGATTGTACTGATGCTTTCATGAGTGTATACATAGGTCAAAACTAATCAAATTGTAGCCTTTCAATAGGTATGGTTTCCTATATGTCAATTACACCTCAATAAAGCTGTAAATGTTTAGGGTGCCAGATAAGACTTTCATAGAGTGGGGTGGTCCTTCTGGAATATAGCTACCTGAATACACTGTAAAACGCCCCTGAAGCTGGTTAGCATCTGCGTTGGGTTGGACTTTCCAGGTTTAAAACAAGGGATGCCCAGTGAGAGAGTTTCCTTGTAGGGAATACTAAGACTTTCTGCTTTTAGCATTGTTCGGGATTTGACTTTTTGAAGCAATCTATAGTACTATTTAGTTTAATATGCACTACATCCCAATGCTTTGCAATATAGATTATCAGAAGGAAATAAGGAGGATTATTTGTAGATTAAACAGCAAGGTAACACAATATAGCTACCAGGCACTAACTTTGATAGTCATCACTTAAATCCTAGAACATAGATGATAAAGTGTGAGAAACAATCTAGAGCCAAAAATTATGAAGAATGCTTTTCTAGAGCCACATATAAAATTAATCTCATTTAAAAGTATCTGAGTATGTCCATACGGAGTCACAATATGCCAGTTGATATTAAGGTGGAATAAAGAACAAACATTCTGCTGTTTGGAGTATATTTATTTTATTGAATAGCTTTTGCAAATAAGTTCTAAAATATTTTAATAATAATAATTGTAATATCTTAAGCTCTTCTAAGAAAATTACAATGTTTTGTTACCTAGGAGAAGATACTGAGGGGACAGTTAAGCCTTTGTTCCTTAACTTTACTAGTGGAACAAAACTTAAGGAGGGACACCTTGAATTCAGCAAGTGAAACTTGAATGCTCTTTTCTTTGTTTTATTATGTCCCATGTTTTTCAGAGTCTTCACAGTTATACATGATAATCTTAAATCCTCACAAAATAAAATGAACAAAGAGCGCCTAAGAACATATGGAAAAACCTAAGTGACAAATCGCATGTGATCATGAAAATTACTGTGGGTATTTTTGCTATTAAAAAATGGGAATAGAAGTAAATAAGTGTAGTATATTCCCCAAGACTATTGGGAATGTTTATAACTGCCTTAAACACACACACTAAGTATGAAATAGGTTATTCAGTTTGTTGTGTGTAATTATACAAATTAAAAATTTTTACTCAGGAAAATAACCACAACACTACCCTTTACAAATCTTAAATATTTTGTACGTATTTCACCCTTGTATCATATATGTCATGCCACAAGCTGTGGGTTTATGGCAACTGAAAGCAGGCACTTCTGTACAAAATACAATTTACTTATGTTGATTTTGTCAATTTTGATATTTGATGAAAACATATTTTTAATAGAGAAAACATTGGGGGTGCAAAAGAAAAACTCATTAATTTCTTTTTTTGGAAATTCTCTGTTCAAATTTATGGCATAGGCCAAAAATCTAGAAATAGTGAGACATGTTTTCTGTGTAAATCTATATGGTAATCTCATATAGTTGAGAACATATATCTTATTAAATCAGTCTTCATAAAATGACTCTCAGCTATTTCTTACAAGAGATGCAATCAGGGATCTTTATTGTAAAATTTTTAGCCCATTAAAGTAAATTATATCTAACTGGCTTAAATTTTATCAAGGGAATTTATGAGATCTCTTAAGTTTGTTATAGAACATCCTTAAAATGCATTTGTAATTATAAATATATTCTCAAGAACATAACAATGAATTCATGGAAAATCAAAGACATCAAAAATACATTTTAAGGTAAAAACTGTAATGTGCTCCATGGGATAAAACTCTTCTCCTGCCCACCATGATATTGAGTACAATGTTGTCCAAATATATAGGCGAGTACAGTTTAAACAGGCTTGCTTTGCCACCATGAATTGTATTAGTGTTCTAATCATTTATCACGTCCATGGATATGTTCAGAAATAATGGCTAATTAAACAATATATTCACACAGAATATTGCAGAATATTTTAATGAGGCAGAAAAATGTCAACATCTCAATGGGTGATAGGTTTTGTTCAGAGCAGCTGGAAGTTATGAATTGCCAATTAAGAAAACTTTGGTAATCTGGGTAATCTATGTTGCCTGTCCAGGATTTATCTGAGTTTGGCAGCCATAAATTTGGAAATAGAATAATGACCTGGAGGGTTCCCTTATGTTGTATATTTGTATAAAATTTCCAATTTCATGTTTTACAGATTAAATGAACCAGCATAAAACTCAACATCAAAAAGGTGAATATTATTTTATTAGTAAAGCTCACTATTTTGGTTTATCAACGCTTTTTTTTTTTCTTTCTGCACAATATAAAGTGAAGAAAAGAATTAAAATGAACAGTTGACCAGTTAATTTAATCACTATACACAGTTCAGGTAGTTAATCTAGGTTTCAAAACAAATTGTTCTCTCCCAAAGAAATGGATGGCTTGATGGCTTGTATGAGAAGTAGACTGTATAAATGTAAAATAAATTAAGTTTGGGTTGTCTGAACCTGATTTCACCAGTTGTTCATTTAACAACCAATTTTGCAGAATCCACATAAATAAACGTGTTCACTGAAGAACTTACATGCAAAAAAGTGGTAAAAAGTTTCTTTACATGAATAAATTATTTTGGTAAAAAACTTTCCTAAATGGAGAATAAGGGCATCTGCAAAGTTTTGCTTTTGTGACGGCATTTTATGGGTACAGCTCTTAACATTGCAACTAGACTCATAACATTTTTGATACTTTAGACCTGGAAGACATCTTATTTGATTTCTATATAAAATTCTGGTCTTAGTTTACCAGAAGGTAAAGATAGAAGGAACAGAAGACTATTTGGGAGGAAAGTACATTAATCATAATATTTAGAAAGACAATTTATTCTGATAAACTAAATTGCTGTCATTAAAATGCATAAACTCTGACATTAAAATTCTGCTCTCCACATGGAAAGTATTTCTGTCCTTGGACCTTGATCCAGTTGTTACAAAAGAATACTATAAAAGGATAGTAATTACCTACTATACTTTGTCTCAGTGTCCATTTTTTCCCACTGAGGGAATGGCTCCAGTGTCACCTGAGAATAAAACCTCTCTTATTTACTAATGAAGCCTGTATTTTTCCCTTTTGTAGTTCTCCCCCTTACATATGTGGCACCTCAAATTTTTTATACTTCCATGCTATCCTGCTGTGAGAAAGAATAGTAATTACATCTAATTAGAAAAGATTAAAATGCTATGATTCATGGAAATAATGAAACTTGATTATGTTTTATACAAGGCATAAATCCCAAACCTACATTTTACACTGAAATTAGCATACAACCTGATCAGCAGCATAAAAGCAGTGTTGTGAATGTTCATTACATTGCTTGTTTTGCTAAATGCACTTTCTGTCATGTCTCAGCCTTACCATGATGGACCCATCTTCCCTTAGGCAAAAAGAAAGAGGTCAGTTTGTTTTTTCTTAAAACCTGGGTTTGCTTTATAACATATTAATTTTATTTATTTGGGGTATGTTAAGTCAAAGTAACATGTGGGAACTAGATATGATATATGGTTGATAAAGAACCAACAAACACACAAACACCTTCGTTTTCCCGTTTAGCAGGCCCCAGGACCAAAACATTGTTTTCAATTTCATTAAGATCTTCCAGGTTAGGAAAGGTAAAATGCAACCTAGAGACGATAGTTCTCTTTTAAACATGAGGATTTTTTTTTCTTTTTCTGCATCACGGACTCAGCATGAATGTTCATTTCAATTATAGTCCAGTTCACAAAGATCCCTCCTGCATGCAGGCATTGTAGGAGAACATATGCAGTTTTATAATGGAACAGAGGGAGACATTACACACAGATAGATTTGTGCCATAAACACATACGGGCATAAGGGATTGTCTAGATAGAAAGCGAAAAAGAAGCCAACATAAAAACTTCAAAAGGATTGAATTGCAACTCCAGAAGGCAAGAAGTTCTCATTTATCTATCTACCTATCTGACATGAAGATCATAACTTTCTGAAATATAATGTATTAAATGTTTTCTAAGTCCAACGATAAGATAATTCTGATAATAACTTGGCATAGCATGAACATTGTCCCATTAATCTCAATCAGATATCCCCTTGGGAAGATAAGCTGCTTTTACTCCACTGGTAGGTATGTGTGATCTGCAGCCATGTGATGGGAACCAAGTCTGTGGTTGTGATAACTATGAAAATGAATAAGATCAGAGACTAGGAGGTGTATTTGTGTGATGGGACAGTGTTTCTGGGATCTGTTATCAGTATGTAATGAAAAAAAGTTATTGAAACGTCTGTTATCCACTTTGTGGAAACAAATAAGATTGAAAGCATGGAAAATGAATGTACGTACAGAGATGTGAGTTATCTTTAGGGGCAAACATTGATAATATTACTCCACTGTGAATGAAAAGGTGAAAATATTGTGCCTTCTTGCAACTGGGTAAAGTCCATTTTAAAAAGGAACAATTCTAATGTAATATTTGTATGCTTACTTCTTTTTCTGTTGCTTTTTTATATGAGGTTTCACTGGAAAAAATGCATATCATAATCACAAACCAAGATTAGCATTTCATAATGGATTGTGTGAGGGCCATAAAACAGAAATAACATATTATTCTATTTTGGAAATAAAATGAGTAAACATTTGCTCTCAAATACTCTCATATAAAAGTAGTCAGAGTTAAAGTGCTTCCTATAGCATGTATTTACTTATTTGGGCCTCTCTCAATATTCTCCCTTTTATGTAAATTTCAAATACATTTTATAGTCATTCATTATAACCATTCCTTTACAAGCAGTCTTGACCTACTTGTACCTCTCTTGCTTTATCGTACTCATCTGACAAAACTACAATGCTGGCAAAATCCAGCTCTTGCCCTGTTCTTCCTCTGTACCTGTGCAGATAAATGAGGCTACGGAAAACAAAAAATAAAAAAACACAACTCTGCTGCCCTTCCCACTGACCACACAGGTCAAATGCTCATGCCTGGGTCCAGTCCTCTTTCCACTCCTGTTCATCATTCCACACCTCCTCCCTCTCTCAAACCTCCAAATTTTGTTCCATCCCAGATGATTACCTTGCTTCCTATTTTCCTGAGAAAACTGAAGAATCAGAAAAGATATCCCACAGCCTCTCCGTACCACTCATTGCCGCCTTTTGGTAAAATAAACTATCTGAGTCGCTTTATAAATTCTGTCCTTTAAATTTTTGTGCATATCAATTCCATCTTAGCTACTCAAAGACATGTCCCCAACAATTCCCTCCCTCTCTCCTATATCATAAAATTTCCCCTCTCTACTGCATCTTTTTTTTTTTTTTGAGACGGAGTTTTGCTTTTGTTGCCCAGGGTAGGGTTTAATGTTGCGATCTCGGCTCACCACAACCTCCGCCTCCCAGGTTCAAGCGATTCTCCTGCCTCAGCCTCCCGAGTAGCTGGGATTACAAGCATGTGCCACCACGTCTGGCTAATTTTTTGTATTTTTAGTAGAGACGGGGTTTCTCCATTTTGGTTAGGCTGGTCTTGAACTGCCTACCTCAGGTGATCTGCTCACCTCGGCCTCCCAAAGTGCTGGGATTATAGGCGTGAGTCACCGCACCTGGCCTCTACTGGATCATTTTTACAGGAATGTACTATTATAATTTTACCAATCTTACAAAATCTCCTTACTTCATTTCCTCTACCAGTTAACATCTTATTTATTTGCTCTCCTTTATAGCAAAATTCCTTGAACAGGCTATCTACACATGTAGTGTACAATTCTGTACACTAAATCTTTCCAGCAGAGCAAATGTGTGTTTGCTCCAGGCAACTTACATCTGCTGAGCTCCTGTCTTGGTCAGTTCAGGTTGTTACAACAAAATACCATGAGCTGTGTGGCTTACAGTCCACAGAAATTTATTTCTTACAGTTCTGGAGGCTGGGAAGTCCAAGATCAAGGTACCAGCAGACTCATTATCTGGTGAGGGCCCACTTTCTGGTTCATGGACGGTGCCTTCTCACTATGTCCTCACATGGTGAAAGGGGTGAGAGGTCATTAGTGGCTCTTTTATAAAGACACTAATCTCATTCATGAGGGCTCTGCCTTCATAACCTAGTCACGTCCCAAAGGCTTCACCTCCTAATAACACCTCCTTGGGGGTTAGAGTTTTAATACGTGAATTTTGTGGGGGACACAAACATTCAGACTGTAGCAGGCTCTTGGCCACATTTAGCTTTGGTTCTTATATCCACACTATCTGTAGAAGGCTGATGTGTCAGGGAGAAAGGAAAAATAAATATTATATAATACAATATTTGGATTGCGTGGTCTTTCCAGCACATTTGCCCTATATCCTGATTGTTAACAGACTCCATCTCTTTCTTCTTGCTTTTCATTATATGTTTTAATGGATTCAATAAAGCAAGAACTTTGAACATCTTCATTTGGTCGTGAGCCTTCCTGTTTCATAATATTTGGTATAGCTGCCTTGTGCTGTGCCTGGAGGCTACCACTACTTTAGAGTGATTTCTCTCCTGGAAACAAACAAACAACCCAAAAAGAACCTATTCTACCTAATATTTTCTTGTTGAAGGGCCTTAAGGCTCTCTCCTTTATACTTTTCTGTATCTACACTCTTTGCCTTGGTGATTTCATTCATTCTTGCAAGTTTAAGAGCCATCTATATACTGATGCCTCCCAAACACATAGTTGCAGTCCAGACTCCTCTATTGTACATTCCATCTTCCTATTATACATCTCTTCAGTGTCTAGTAAACGTCTCAAACCCTACATGTCAACTGACTCCTAATGCTTATGCAAATACCTATTTGACCTATAGCCTTTCAATCTCAATTAATGGCAACTCTGTCTTTTCAATTCCTCATGCTAAAAGCCTCAGAGTCACTGTTGTCTCTCATCTTTTTCTTATAATTCACCTCCAGTCTCACCACATTGTCACTACCCAGATCTATGCCACCAGCAATTCTCTTCTGGATTATTCCAACAGCCTATGGCTGGCTTCTCTGCATTTCCTCTTCCTTAACACCACCATAGTCATTTTCAATGTAGTAAACAAATTTTTTAAAAATGTAAGAAAGGTAATGCTGCAACTCTCTCCGCTGAAGCACTAAAGAGGTGCCCCATTTTGTTGAGGGTAAAGCCAAAATCTTTTCAAGCCTCTACATAGTTTGGCCACTGGACTATAATCTTTCTGATTTCATCTTCAATTATCTTCCCCTGTCTAACTCTGCTATTTATCTTCTCTTTGATTTTCTTTATGATTCCTCAAGTGCACAAGGTCCTTGCATTAGTTGTTCCTCTATCTGGAGTGCTCTTCTTTCCAGATAACTATGTGGCTAAGTCTCATCTTTCTCCAGCCATTGGCCCAAAATATACATTCTCAGTGACATCACCCCTGAGCACCCTATTTTAAATTATAACTTGGTTCTTGCCTTCACATTCCATCTCTCTATCCTGCTGTATTTTTCTATTGCTCTGATCAAAATATATAATTAACTCATTTTAATTTTTGTCTGATCTCTCACCCTAGAATAACGCCCCTAAAGGAAACAGATCTTTGTTTAGTTCACCAAAATCAAAGGTTCTTATATTTTATTGTACAACAGAATCACCTGGAGGGCTTATTAAATCATACATTGATGGACCCTACTACCAGAGGTTCTTACTCAAAATTATTTTGCGGGGGCCAATAATTTGCATTTCTATTAATCTCCTAAGTGGTACTAATGCTGTTGGTACAGGTACCACACTTGGAAAACCACTGACCTAAAAAATTCCAGGCACAAGACAAATGCTTAATGAAAGGCTGTTGAATAAATGAAGTTGTATCTTATTTTAATTTATATTTTTGAGTACTGTTGGGATTGAATACTTCTAATATGCCAATTTGCTGTTCGTGCTTCTTTGTTTGTAAATTCCCTATGCATGGCCATTATCACTTTCTTATTAGGATGTTTATCATTATTTATTGATGATAGTTTTATTTGCCACATTTTTAGAAAATATATTTCTCGTTTTGGCTTCTGTCAATTAATATTGTTTATGATTTTTATGATGGCACTTTTTAATTTATGCTATCAAAATTACACATTAATATGTATAAATTTTCACTTTACATGACTTTATATCTTAGCCATTCCCAAGCTAAGATTATGTACATGTTTACCAACATTTTCTTTTAGTTTCTTTATGCCTTTTCATTTTTAATTCAACTCCTTAATTCACATCCTATTTCATATACAGTGCTTGAAAGGTCCATTAGTCTAACTTTCTATATATAAGACAATAACTGAAAGTTACATTATTATACCTTTATGGTAGCTTTTACTACCATGTAGGACATTTTTTTCCTTATTTATTTATTTATTTTTATTTGTATAATTTTAAGGCATACAAGAGGTCTTGTTACATGGATATATCAGACAGTGGTGAAGTCTGGGCTTTTAGTATGACCATCACCTGAATAATGTACATTGTACCCATTATGTAATTTATCATCTGTCTTTCCCCTCCTACTCTCCCACCCTCCTGAGTCTCCAGTGTCTATTATTCCACACTCCGTGTCTATGTGTACACATTATTTAGCTTCCACTCATAAGTGAGTCTTTTACTTTCTGTGTCTGAGTTGTTTCGCTTAAGAGAATGGCCTCTGGTTCCAACCATGTTGCAAAAGACATGATTTCATTCTTTTTACAGCTGAATACTATTTCATTGTGTATGTGTGTGTACATATATATATATGTATATGTGTGTGTATTTGTGTATATGTATATATATCACATTTTCTTTATTCATTCATCCATTGATGGACACTTAGATTAGATTGATTCTGTATCTTTTTGATATAATGATTTCTTTCCTTTTGGGTAGATACACAGTAGTGGGATTGCTATATCAAATGGTAGTTTTAAGGTTTTTGACAAATCTCCATACTGTTTTGTAGAGGTTGTATTGATTTACACTCCTACCAACAGTGTATAAGCACTCTTCTTCTGCAGTCTTGCTAACACCTGTTATTGTTTGACTTGTTAATAGTAGCCATTCTGGCTGGTGTAAGATAATATCCCATTGTGGTTTAATTTGCATTTCTCTGGTGCTTTGTGATGTTGAGTATTTTTTCATATGTTTATGAGCCATATGTATGTCTTCTTTTGAAAAAAGTCTATTAATGTCATTTGCCCACTTTTTAATGGAATTATTTGTGATTTTGTTTTTGTTGAGTTCCTTGTAAATTCTGGATATTAGTTCCCAGTCAGGTGTTTAGTTCGCTAATATTTTCTCCCATTCTGCAGGTTGTCTGTTCACTCTGTTGATTATGTCATTTGCTGTGCAATAGCTTTTTAATTCAATTAAGTCCCATTTTTCTATTTTTGTTTCTGTTATTTGTGCTTTTGTGGTGTTAGTCATAAATTCTTTGCCCAGACCACTGTCCAGAAGAATTTTCCTTAGGCGTTCTAGTGTTTTTATGGTTTCAGGTCTGATATTTAAGTCTTTAATCCACCTTGAGTTGATTTTTGCATGAGGTGAAAGATAGAGGTCCATTCTTCTGCATATAGCAGTCGACTTTTCTCAGCACTATTTATTTAAAAGGTGTAGTTTTCCCATTAATGGCAAAAACCATAATTACTTTTGCACCAACCTAATATGTTTTAGCCAATTTTGTCAAAGATCTATTGGTTGTAGATATGTGGCTTTATTTTGGGTTTTTCCTTTGTGTTCCATTGATATTTGTCTATTTTTACACCAGTACAATGCTGTTTTGGTTACTATAGCCTTGTACAACTTGAGAACAGGTAATGTGATACCTTCAGTTTCATTCTTTTGCTTAGAATTGCTTTGGCTATGCAGGCTTTTGTTTGTTTGTTTCTATGTGAATTTTTAGGATTGTTTTTTCTAATACTTTGAAGAATGATGTTGGTTTTTGATAGAGATTACTTTAAAATTGTAGATTGCCTTGGACAGTGTGGTCATTTTGCTAGTATTATTTCTTCTAATTTATGAGCGTAGGGTGTTTTTCCCTTTCTTTGTGTCATCTACAATTTTTTTCATCACTATTTTTTACTTTTTCTTGTAAAGATCTTTCAACTCCCTGGTTAAATAGATATCTTGGAATTTTTTTTGTAGCTATTGTAATTGGGATTGAATTTTTAATTTGATTCTCAGCTTGATTGTTATTAGTGTGTAGATATGAAAGTAATTTTTGTATATTAATTTTATATCCTGAAATTTTGCTGATTTATCAATTTAAGAGTATTTTGGAGGAGTCTTTGGAGTTTTCTAGGTATAAGATTGTATCATCAGCAAACAGAAAATTTGACTTTCTCTTTTCTAATTTGGATGCCTTTTATTTATTTATTTTTCATTTCCCTGATTGCTCTGGCTGGAATTTCCAGTACTATGTTGAATAGGAGTGGTGAAAATTGTCCAGTTTGTAGGAGGAATGCTTTCAACTTTTCCTCTTTCAGGGAAAAATGATGTTGGCTGTGGGTTTGTCATATATGGCCTTTATTATTTAAAGTTACATTCCTTTTATGCCTAGTTTGTTGAGGGTTTTTATCATGAAGGGATACTGAATTTTGTCAAATGCTTTTTCTGCGTCTATTGAGATGATCACATGGTTTTTGCTTTTACTTCTGCTTTGTGATGAATCACATTTATTTATTTGTGTATGTTGTATCATCCTTGCATCCCTAGAATAAAAAATAGCTTGCCGTGGTGTATAACATGTTATTTATTTATTTTTTTGATGTGCTGTTGGATTTGGTTTGCTAGTATTCAGGGTTTTTACATCTGTGTTCATCAGAGATATTGGTCTGTAGTTCTCCTTATTTGTTTGGCTTTGGCATCAGGGTGATACTCACTTTGGAGAGTGAATTAGGAAGGATTCCCTTCTCTTCAGTTTTTTGGAATGTTTTGAGTACTATTGGTACCAGTTCTGTGTACATCTGGTAGAATCTGGTTTGGGGCTTTCTTTCGTTGGAAGATTTTTTTATTGCTGCGTTAATCTCACTACTTGTTTTTAGTCTGTTCAGGATTTTTACTTCTTTCTGGTTCACTCTTGAGAGATTGTATTTTCCAAGAATTTGTCCATTTCCTCTAGATTTTGTAGCTTATGGGATAGAGTTGTTCATGGTAGTCTCTGATGATCTTTTATATTTCTCAGGTGTCAGTTGTCATGTCTCCTTTTTAATTTCTGATTATATTTATTTAGCTTTTCTGTCGCTTCTTCTTGGTTAGTCTAGCTAGTTATTCATCATTTTTTTTCTTTAGTATTTTCAGAGAACCAAATTTTAATTTCGTTAATTCACCTTATTGTATTTTTGCTCTTGATTTTATTTAGTTCTGCTCTGATCTTTGTTATTTATTTTTTCCTGCTAGCTATGGATTTCATTTGCTCTTGTTTTTCTAGTTCCTTGAGGAATGATGTTGTTATTTTGTGATCTTTCCATTTTTTGACATAGGTATTTAATGCTATAACTTTCATCTTAAGATCACTTTTGCTGTATCTCAGAGGTTTTGGTATGTTGCATCACCATCTTCATTTGTTTCGAAAAATTTTAAATTTTCATCTTTTGTCATTGACCCAGTGATTGTTCAGGAGTATGTTGTTTAATTTCCTTGTATTTGTGTAGTTTTCAAAGTTTCTCTTGGTATTGATTTCTAGTTTTACTCCACTGTTACATGAAAAATTACTTGGTATGCTTTCAGTTTTTAAAAATTTACTGAGACTTGTTATATGGCCTAATATTGGGCTATCTTGGAGAATATTCCATGTGCTTATAAGAAAAAATGTATATTCTATGGTTGTTGGGTAGAATCTTCTGTAAATGTCTGTTAAGTCTATTTGGTCTAATTAAAGGTCTATTTATTTTTTGGTGTTACATCCATATATATTTAGAATTGTTATATTCTCTTGTTTAATTGATCCCTTTATCATTATATAACGACTTTTTGTCCTTTATTACTGGTTTTGATTCAAAGTCTGTCTTATTTGATATAAGTATAGCTACTTCCGTTTACTTTTGTTTTCTCTTTGTGTGGAATATCTTTCTCTATCCCATTACTTTCAGTCTATAAGTGTCTTTACCAGTAGGACGAATTTCTTATAAGCCGCATATCATTGGTTACTTTTTTTATTCATTCCACCAATCTATATCTTTTAAGTGAAGGATTTAGTCTATTTATGTTCAAGATTAGTATTGATATGTGAGGTTTCATTCCTGTTATAATGTTAATTGCTGTCTAGTTGTTTTGTGGGTTGTTTCTATTTTATTTCTCTGTCTCCTTGTCTTTGTCATTTAGTGGAGTTCTGCCATGTTTCCATGTAATTTCTTTCTTTTTTTTCTGGGTGTAAATGTTTTATAAAACCTGCGAGTTGTATAGCTTGGTGTATTTTAATGATGGTGAATATTAACCTTTCATTATTATGTTTAGAAGTCCTTCGAGCATTCTTTGTAGGACTGGTCTAGTAGGGCCAAATTTCCTCAGTTTTTGATTCTCTGGGAAATAATTTTGTATCTCCTTTGTTTATCAAGCTTGTTCCAGCAGTATATAAGATTTGTGTTTCATAGTTTTTTTTTTTTCCAAGCTCTGAAAATAGGACCTCAATCTCTTCTGGCTTATATAGTTTCTGCCGATCAGTCCACTGTTATCCGATGGGTTTTCCTTTATAGGTGATGATATGGCTAGGCTTTGTGTCCCCACTCAAATCTCATCTTGAATTGTAATCCCCAGGTGTTGAGGGAGAGACCTGGTGGGAAGCGATTGGATTATGGGGGTTGTTTCCCCCATGCTGTTCTTATAATAGTGACTGAATTCTCGGAAATCTGATGGTTTTAGAAATGGTAGTTTTCCTGCGCTCTTGCCTGCTCTCTCTCATCTGCCACCATGTAAGATGTACCTGCTTTCCCTTCCGCCATGATTGTGAGTTTCCTGAGGCCTCCCTAGCCATGCAGAGCTGTGAGTCAATTAAACCTCTTTCCTTTATAAATTACCCAGTCTCAAGTATTTCTTTATAACAGTGTGAAGATGGACTAATACAGGTGACTAGACACTTTTCTCTTGCTGATTTTAGAATTCTTTCCTTCATATTGACTTTAGAAAGTCTCACGACCATATGTGTTGGTAAAGTTCTTTTTGCAATGTATTTCCTAGAGTTCACAGAGCCTCTTGTATCTGGATGTCTAAGTGTCTTGAAAGACTAGGGAAGTATTCATCAAGTATTTCCTTAAATAGGTTTCTCAAACTTACTACTTTTTCTTCCCCCTCAGATAACCTTAGTGTGGTGGCTTCCTTAAATTCTAGTTGTAGTAGTAATGTACTGCGTGGGTGAGTGGGATCAAGGCCTCGTCAGTACCTAGGGTGGCATGAACAATGGTGGTAGCAGAGGTCATGCAAAGCTTGTCTCCTTCCTGAGTCCTGTGCAATTGTGTCAGCAGATGTAATGGGCTGTGCAGGTTGACGTCCTGGCCAGTGAGTGTCCCTTACAGGTAAGAGCCAGCTGCTGTAGTTGCAGTAGTATTTATTCATGATCTTTGTTAACCAGGAGGAATACTTGGGTGTTTCAGGCAATGGGCTGGTCCATGGAACTCCCAGTTGTCCTGGTCCTGTGTTCTGCGTCTGAGGTGTATAGGTGGGGAAAAGCCAAGTGGGGCTGGGCCTGGCAAGTGCTTGAGCCCTCCAATGGCAGGCATAAGCACTGTCCCTGATATGGGCCAGAAGGCAGTCCTCGGGCCCCTGGAGCAACACTCCAACAAAGAGCGAAGCAACTGCTACTGTGCCAAAGAGCCAGCATGGGGAAAGAGGGGCAGCTCAGGCTCTGCAGTCTAGCAGGTGGTAGTGGAATGCATCTCTTCCTATGGTCTTGAACCTGTCAAGGCTTTCTCCCACTGCTGGCAGCATGCTGAAGCATTGAGTCAAGTCATAAGCAATTGGTCTTCAGGTTAAGAAATTGCCGCAGGACACAAAACTCTCTGCATGGGATAAGAACCCATGTATCCCAGGACACACCCTTCCCGGTCTGATCCCACAAGGTTGGGCAGGGAAGGGGCAGGCACTCAATTTTTGTGCCTGTGGCTGGAGCCCATGCCACACTCACCTCTCAGTTCTGGCTATGGGGTTCCGGCTATGGGGTTCCGGCTCCTCCCTTACTTGAGACTAGATCACAAACCTCTGGAGACTCTTCGAACCAGTGACTGCCTGTCATGCTGGCTGGCAAGTTCCTCAGCAGCCCACTATGAATTAGGATCAAGAATGACCTCCTTGTATCAGCACTGGGTTGTGGGAGCACATACAGTCTACTTCCCACTGTTGCTCCTTCTCAGTCTGTTGACTGCTCCCCATGTCATATCCAGCACAGGGGTCAAGGAGCTCCCCTGTGGCCTAGATTGCCTGGCTCCCCAATGGGAATGTGTACTGTGGACATATCTCTCCCCTGTCTCATGCACTGCGGTCCCACTCGTGATTTTCCAGATCAGCAATGCAGGCTACTGCCTGCTACATACTTGAAAGCGTGCAAAATCTTTTTCACTCTTATGTTGTACTCCCATATTCCTTCTTGAATAAAAGTTCAAAGTGTGAATCTCTACATGTTATTTTGCAGTTTTCAAGTGAGTGAAGTGCGCTTACAAAGCCCCTAATCTGCCATTAGCAGCAGATGGCACTTTTCTCTGGGGAGATTTTTGGAGCGAGGTTGGTGCTAGGAAGGTGTTGGGAACGCCTCTGATGCCAGGCTTGAGAGATCAGGGCAGGATGGAGAAGTGTAGAAACTCGAAAAAGTTCTCCACGTCAGGGTAAACCTGCTTCTGCACCTCCGATACACATGCAGAGCCAACCTTCCTGCACTGTTCACTCTTCCTTTATTTATTTTTCAGTAGTTTGATAATTATTTTTTCTTCAGAAGAAACTTTGTTAAATTTTAAGGTCATCTTGAAAGTTTTACTGGAAATCAAATTGTAGATTAACATTTGGAGAATTACCAAGTATTTAATGTATAAAAATTAAATTTGCTATTTAGGATCATTAATTAATCCTGAATGAAGTCACCTTTTATGTGTCTTTCAGTATATTTTTGTAGTTTTAAAAAAATATTTACTAGACTCTATAGTTATTTTGTTTATTCCCAAGCCTTGTATAGTTATGTGCATGTGATACAGTTTTTATTATCTGTTCTAATTATTATTCGCACATATGTAATTTTAATAACAGGACACCTTATTGAACTATTGATTTTATTTGTTTTTCTCTCGTATCTTCTGTGTCCAGAAGTAGCATAATAACATCTATAAATATTTTATCCTTCTGTTATATATTTTTTCATATTTTGTATTTATATTTTTTGTTATGTTGTTGTAGCCAGAAACATCATTATTTAACATAATACTATTGTTAATGTCTGTTCTTTCTGAAGTTAATAATTTGACTAAGGATATCATTTATTTTTATTTTATCCAACTGCATGCGTATTGGTTTAGAGAGATATTTTACAATCAGAAATAAAATTGAAATATTATTAATTATACTATAAATTCAGAAAGCTGTATACTTGGAAAATGTGAGGGAATGTATAGACTAAAAAAACTATGAAACAGTGATAGTAGAGAAACTTATTTTCTATATGGTGCAATGGTGAAAATAACAATGAGTGATAAATTTATCACTTTCTATCTAAGATTATGTTTGTTTATTTAACAAATATGTGCCATACAGACATATATGTGTTTATTAAATAAATGTTAAATACATATATATTTGTTAAATACACACACATATTAAATAAATACATATGCATGCATACACAGTTCAGACTCTATGAAAAAGGATTATATACTATCCATCACTATTGCTTCTAAAACTCTTACCACATGCTATATGTGCTATCCTAAAGTATGTGAGATACAAAGAAGAGACTGAATTAACTCTACCATGAAGGAACTCCTATTTATGCTGAAAATAAAGGCAAACCAATAAACAGAAAGAAATAGAAAGATGGAAAATATAAGCAATTGTATAGTACAGACTATAAATGCCAACAGGTTGCAGACAGAGATAAAAATCAGCACACTGAAACATATTCAAAACATAAGATAGTTCATTTTGTAAATATATTCTTATTTTATCATGAGACTCATAATCCTCTAAAACATTTAGAATTGTGTAAGATAAGTTTTGGGGCAGCTAGAATGAATTTGAAATTATAGATATTTATAAAGATAATTAGCCTATGTACCAAGCTGACACAGAGGGAAGACAGAATTTTGGGCAGCTCAGTGGGCCCTCTGGGTCTTTGACTGGGTGGATGGTTTCTTTCTGCCTGATAGTATTTATTCCTTCTTGTGTGCAGTAGACAAACAAAATTGACCCAGTTGTGTTTGTTTGAACCACTAGTTTAGTTAAAACACATCACCAGCCAGCAAGAATCAGTGTTCTCTATGGAACATTGGAATGCAGAGTGGTTGGGATGGTGGCATCTTGCCTTTTTCTTCCCCAAGTTTGTCATTTCCTAACCCAGTATACAACGAGTATCTTAGTCCATAGGTGAGTGTTACACATTTAACCTTAGTGTGGTGGCTTTCTCAAATTCCAGTTGTGGTATTCAGAGTAACTACTCTGAAAGTAATTACACGTGATATGTGGTGTGTGTTCATATGTTAAGAACAACTACTCTAAATTAAAAGATCCTTGATGGGAGATTTGTCTCATTCTCTTTTGTGTTCTCAGTTTCCAGGACCATGCCTGGCCCATAGTAATCCCTTAATTCATGCGTTCATTAAAAAATGGAAGAATGAAGGAACAGCTTATGAAAGATGCTGAAAATTTCTCTCCTAGTATTTCTACTATTCAAATCACATATATTTTCACTATATTGTGTGGAATTTTATAATATATGTTCATAATTCGACAATATTTTTAAATCTTTGAAAAGTAATTTGTTAATGTTTCTGAGATTCTCTTGTCTTTAATTAGTTCTTACTTTCCCTAAATTCTGTGGCAAGTAATAAGCCTAATCAATTCTACTAGTATATTTTGTTGGAACTTTTATCATAAAAATGAATGAGGATATAACAATAAAATCTGCCATATTCACAGGACATTCTGAGGTTCTTTTAATATTAACCTTCTGTCAGTTTTGATAAAGACTGCTCTGTATCCTATTAGGAATCCTGCAATAATTTCTTCTCAATTATATACAATTATCTTATTACTTAAAACACTTTTTTTCTTTCATGTATAAATGAATCGTTTAAGCAGGTAAACAAATAATCTAAAACTGGTATTAATATTGAAGGAACTTTTTCAGTCTATTTTGCTGTGCCATTCAGTTTCTTTCACAAACATCTGATTTACTTTCATTTGAATTAAGCAGGTAGCATTTTTTTTTTTTGGTACAAATTTTGGTTTGAACTTGCGGATCAATTTATTTAATTTAATTTAATTAATTAATTTTTTTTTTTGAGACAAAGTCTTGTTCTGCCACCTAGGCTGGAGTGCAGTGGTTCAGTCTTGGCTCACTGCAACCTCCACCTCCCAGGTTCAAGTGATTCACCTGCCTCAGCCTCCTGAGTAGCTATAGGCGCCCATGACCACGCCTAGCTAATTTTTGTAATTTTTTTTTTTTTTTTTTTTTTTTTTTTAGTAGAGATGGGATTTCACTATTTTGGCCAGGCTGGTCTCAAACTCCTGACCTCGTGATCTGCCTGCCTCAGCCTCACAAAGTGCTGGGATTACAGGTGTGAACCACTGCGGCCAGCTGGATCAATTCTTTATCATTTTCCTCAGAACCCTCTGTATTGTCTACACATAACAATGCAGGTTTCAAATGTGACACTTACCCTAGCCAGATCTTCATTTTTTTGTTGCCCAGTTCTGGAATTCTATGAATGAAAAAATAGGAATTGTGCTCACCCTCTGGCTGTTAATATGGTAAGTAGGCAAAAGAGAACCCTAAACTTCACAGAATATCACTTTCCGCCCTGATATTATTAATCCTCATTATTTATCCCAGAACGTTAATTGATATGTTTACTCTAGGTGAAAACACTAATAATCCTTAGAAATTTCTACTCCCATTTAGTTAAAATGTTAACAAGTTGATGACAGTTCAGAAATAAGTCATTACTGCCAGGAGAGAGGGAATTTTCTCAAGGAAATTTTAATAAGAAACATCTCTTAGTTAAATTGATTATCATTAAGTAGGCACGACTGGAAACCTAAGCACTCCCAAGGGTTTTGCTTGTTGTTCTATTTCTCAGAGTCACTCATAGAGTGTCCAGCACAAAGAACATGCTATAATGACCCTTTCCTTGCTGAAACTCTTGCTTTATGGAAACAGTGAAGCAGGTGCATTAAGGCCAATGAGATGACAGCATACAGGGAGGAGCCCTGGGTTCTGGGGTTGCACTGACTTCCCTGTGCAGAATTGATGCCAATTATGAGTGTAAGCTGGCTGAGTTAATAAATCCAATTGTTTTTTCTCCTTGAAAAGATTCTAAAAAATTGATGGAGGAGGATGAAGGCTTTTTGAGAGCTCTTATACTGAGTGTCTTTACATTCAAATAATGGACAAAACAACTGGAGCCATAGCAACTCTACTATTGCAAAGCCAAACTCTGTTTTTTTTTTAATGAATACTGTATTAAAAAAATGTAGCTTGCTCAGGATTAAGGCCCTCCTCTTGCTCATAAACTGCTACAGTAGCCTCTTCTGTGCTTCTACTCTCATCTCCACCCTATCCATTTCCCACATACATAGCGCCCTAATACCCTTATTATCCTTAAAAAAAAAATCAGATCATTGCCACTTTAAGCTCCATAGGTTTAAACCTGCTACCCTAGCCTATAAGGCCCTGAAGGGTCTGCCTCCTTCTCACCTGGCTGACTTCATCTTTACCGCTGCAAGCCTGGCTCATTATCATCTACCGATCCTGGTCTCCTATTGTTTACTCCAAGAAATTTAAGTTTCTTTCTACCTCTGACTTGCTTTTCTTTTGTTTGAAATACCTCCTCCCGCCCTACTCCACTCACTCCAAAAAAAAAAAAAAATCCTCTTTGCTTTGGTAGTTCTTCATAGTTCAAACCTCAGCTCAGACACCACTTTTTGAGATATATCTTCCTGACTACCTTTTTAATTAGCCTCTCCTATTCACGCGCTATCATAATATCTGGTTTTATTTCTTCCATAGCTTTTTATTATTAATAGGAATTACATGTGAGCAGAATACATGTCTACTGTTCAGGGTAGTGCCCTAACATCAAGAACAGTGCCTGGCACACAGACAGCATTTCATAAGTGTTTGCCAAATGCCTGACTGATTAATAAAATTATGAGGAAATAGAGTGATATTTTATAGCCATGTTCTGTGAGCAGTGTAGAACATGCCATGTGCCAGTCACTGACACTGGCGTGCCCCAGGTATCAGTTGTTTAAATAAGCCTGAAGTTACTTGTTGGTTTATATTAGGAAAATCTTACAGAAAACCAAAAGGAATTATCCATCTATTTATTAATTCAAAACAAATTCATGATTCAGCAGCAAAAAAATACAGAAATCCCATTCTTTGTCTCCACTCTCAGTTGTTAGTGGCTTTGAGAGATGTCTTGAATGATAGGAGATAATCATTGCAGATGAAAGGTCAACTTAGGGAGAAGAAGTTGCAGGCATATAATGCAGCAAAAGGAGAGACAAATAATTTTTGGAAATCAGGATGAACTTTGGAGATGTCAGGAATCGGGGTGATATGTGAGAATGGTTGTGAAGTAGTGGTAAGTTCGGAAAGATGGAAAGGAAGTAGTTTAGAGAGACTATTAGAACCAATCTCCAACCCAGCATGTATTTCAGTAACAAACATTAAGGCTTCGGAACTGTGGTAGCATGGGCAAGGTCTATGCAGAGAGCACAGATGGGAGTGAGGATGAGAAGTGAAGAATACGGGCAAAGCTTCTAGGACATTGGAGAGAAGTTCTCTGGACAGTTGAGGAGACTGGTGCTGCACTTGGCAAAGTATAGTGTATGGGTTTAGGAGTCCCAGCTCTGTGGCTTACTGGCTGTGTGACCCTTGTCAAATTGCTGAACCTGTGCAATCTCCAGTAACCAGGACAAGGCTATGTAAGATTGGCTCCAAGTGCACCATTTGTATAGCTCATAGGAGCTGTGTTAGAGAAATGCCTAGGATATGAGTAATATGCTGCATTGGCATTTTAAATCACTCTTGAAAGCTGTGTAAAGAAAATATTGACATTACTTGCTAGAGCTGTGCTGTGAATGAGCCGTGGAAAAAATTGGCTGAGGTATTAGAGCAGGCGCTGTGAAAATCCGAGATGAAGGTATAAAGGGGCTGCACAGGAAAAGACAGCTGGGGTCATCCACAGTAGCAGATAAAAATTTGTCCCTCTGTGCATCATTAATGTAATTAAAAACCTGATTCCTGCCTGACATTTCATGCATCTATTGAGACATAATGGATGTCTATGGGAAGTGGCCTTGTTTTGAAAGAGGAACAGATAGCTTGCAGTGGCTACCTGATTCACAGAAAGGATTATGAAGCCCTCCAGCTGTGCCTCCTTAAATAATGTATTGGATTAACAATTGCTATCATTAGGCACTTAGGATGTGCCAGATATCCTTCTCAGTACATACACTTTCATTTGTCCTCGTAAGAACTTGTGACATAGGCATTATTAATTACCCCCATTTCTCAGGTGAGAAAACTGATTCAGAAAAGATTAATTTGCCTAAGGTTGCACATTCCACATATGCTGAAGCTGGAATTCAATTCCAGGCATTCCAGCTTGACTAGGCTGCTTGAGCATTTTTCTACATTGAGACAACCCTATTTTAGTAGATCTCAATTTTAAGAGGCTCCTGGATATTTTACAAAACTACACATAAGCATACATGGACCTTTCTCAGAGAGCCATCTTTTTGGCCCAAGTATCTGTACGTTTTGTTGGAATCTTAGAAGGTTCTGACATGTATCCAAGTTTAAGAAGCATTGTTTTTGTCTGTGGGTCAAATTACCTTGAACTGGAATATATTCTCTTCCTTAAAATAGTAATGATAATGAAGCTTAGTCAGGATGTACTGACAAACTAACAGGAGAACTTTTGTGAAAACATTTGGTAAATCACTGACTGCCAGACTGGCCAGAAACATCTTCATAGGTAATTACAATAAAATCTCTGGTCCTCATCTACAACTATCTGATACATAGTATTAATTTTTTCAAAAGGTAGTATGATTTACCAGCATGTAGTGTTTTAGCAATACTAATCTTAGTTCAAATTTTATGCATATGGCTTACACTTTGTAGTACATTGAATATCACCTAACTTCTCTGGGTTATAATTTCCTCCTCAGAAAAGTGCAGGTGATAATTTCTTTGCAGCCCTCCATGAGGATCAAATGAAGCGGTACCTCTGAGGCTGTTGTAGATGTGCATCACTCATTAGTTGCTTTCCTTTAGAAGTGAGCAGAAATCCCACATGCCTTTTAAAGTCCAGAGCATTTGTTTTCAATGATAAAATATGCATTAGTTTTTATTCTCCTGCTGTTATAATATTCAGTCATTATAATCTTACAAAAAGGCATTTTTTTTGTATAGACTTTAATGGTTATCTCTCAAACTGCCAGATGGTTCCGTCAACAACTTAAGAAATTTATGAAATTAATCCCTTCTAAACTTCACATGTAATTCTGTTTCACTGGCTTCAAACCACAGCTTTCATTTGAATTCTGAAAAAAATTAGAGAATAATTTTCTTCATAAACTACAAAATGCTATTTTGCTTGCCTCTTTTGAGCAGCGTCTGATATTGCTACAAAGGGATAAACAAGTAAGTCTGGAGCACAATTTTGCATTAGGCTCTGAGAG
Organism: Homo sapiens; assembly: GCF_000001405.40. NCBI lineage: Eukaryota > Metazoa > Chordata > Mammalia > Primates > Hominidae > Homo > Homo sapiens. The sequence continues at coordinate 118,325,032 of NC_000005.10, read as the reverse complement.
ATTTCATTTTTCTTCATAATCTTAATGGAATTAAAATATCAGAATAGAGGAGGTTTGGGTGAGAAAGGTGGAATTTTTATTTCCATTGGGTGTTATGTTGTATTTCTTCTTTTTTTTTCTTTGTTGGATTTTTTTTTTTTTTTTTTTTTTTTTTTTTTTGATAAGAAAGTCTTGCTCTGTCACCCAGGCTGAAAGTGCAGTGGCGCGATCTCGGCTTACTGCAAGCTCTGCCTCCCGGGTTCACACCATTCTCCTGCCTCAGCCTCCCGAGTAGCTGGGACTGCAGGCGCCCGCCACCACGCCTGGCTAATTTTTTTGTTTTTTTGTATTTTTAGTAGAGACAGGGATTCACCATGTTAGTCAGGATGGTCTCTAACTCCTAACCTTGTGATCCACACGCCTCGGCCTCCCGAAGTGCTGGGATTACAAGCATCAGCCACCGTGCCCAGCCTGGACTTTTTTTTTTTTTTTTTTAATCAGCATTCATCAGCCAAGAACTGAAAAGGGGTTAGAAAGCTCAAAACATTTCCCCAGTGCCATCCCACTATGGTTCCACTGTAAAAGTCATTTATTTCTATTTTAGTTTAAGGGTTATAGGTCTCCCCCACAGTGGTCCAAGAGATATAGGTGGTTCTGAGGCCTAGATTCATGCCTTCAGCGTAGAAGGATTTTTCACCCTGAATCATTATTGATATGGTTTGGCTCTGTGTCCCCACCCATATCGCATCTCAAATGGTAATCCCCATAAGATCTTTCAACCCCAGTGTGTTGAAAGAGGGACCTCATGGGAGGTGGGAGGTGATTGGATCATGGTGGCAATTTTCCCCATGCTGTTCTTGTGATTAGTGAGTCAGTTCTCAGGAGATCTGATGGTATTTTTTTTTTTTTTTTTTTGAGATGGAGTTTCACTCTTGTTGCCCAGGCTGGAGGGCAGTGGCGTGATCTCAGCTCCCTGCACCTTTGTCTACCGGTTTCAAGTGATTCTCCTGCCTCAGCCTCCTGAGTGGCTGGGATTACAGGCGCATGCCACCACATCCAGCTACTTTCTGTATTTTTAGTAGAGATGGGGTTTTGCCATGTTAGCCAGGCTGGTCTAAAACTGCTGACCTAAGGTTATCCACCCACGTTGGCCTCCCAAAGTGTTGGGATTACAGGCATGAGCCACTGCGCCTGGCCATCTGATGATTTTTTAAGGCACTTTTCCCTGCTCTTCCTTGCTCTCTCTTGCCTGCTGCCATGTAAGATCTGCTTCTTCTCCTTCTGCCATGATTGTGTTTCCTGAGTCCTCCACAGCCATGAGGAACTGAGTCAATTAAACATCTTTTCTCTATAAATTACCCTGTCTTGGGCAGTTCTTTATAGCAGTGTGAGAACAGACTAATACAGTTAATTGGTACCGAGGTAGTGGGTTACTGTTATAGAGATAATTGAAAATGTGAAAGCGACTTTGGAACTAGGTAACAGGCAGAGGTTGGAACAGTTTGGAGGGTTCAGAAGACAGAAAGATGTGGGAAAGTTTGGAATTTCCTAGAGACTTGTTCGATGGTTTTGACCAAAATACTGATAACAATGTGGACAATAAAGTCCAGGCTGAGGTGGTCTCAGATGGAGATGAGGAACTTCTTGCGAACTGGAACAAAGGTCACTCTTGCTATGCTTTAGCAAAGAGACTGGCAGCATTTTGCCCCTGCCCTAGAGATCTGTGGAACTTTCAACTTGAGAGAGATGATTTAGGGAATCTTTTGCAAGAAATTTTTAAGGAGCAAAACATGCAAGAGGTGACCTGGTTGATTTTGAAAGCATTCAGTCTTAGGAGTTTACAAAGAGATGGTTTGAAATTGGAACTTATGTTCAAAAGAGAAGCAGAGCATAAAAGTATGGAAAATGTGCAGCCAAGCCATGTGGTAGAAAAGAAAAACCCATTTTCTCGGGAGGAATTCAAGCCAGCTGTAGAAATTTGCATGAGTAATGAGGAGTCGAATGTTAATAGCCAAGAAGATAAGGAAAATGTCTTCAGGGCATGTCAGAGACCTTCATGGCAGCCCCTCCTATCACAGGCCCTGAGGCCTAGAAGGAAAAAGTGGTTTCATGGGCTGGGCCCAGGGCCCCACTGCTTCTCTGTGCAGCTTCAGGACTGGGTGCCCTGCATCCCAGATGTGGTTAAAAGGGGCCAATGCACAGATCAGGCTGTTGCTTCCAAGGGTGCAAGGCCCAAGCCTTGGCAGCTTCACATGGTGTTGATCCTGTGGGTGCACAGAAGTCAAGAAGTGAGGTTTGAGAACCTCCACCTCAACATCAGAGGATGTATGAAAATGCCTGGATTTCCAGGCAGAAGTCTGCTGCAGGGGTGGAGCCCTCATGGAGAACCTCTGCTAAGGAAGTGTGGAAGGGAAGTATGGGGTCAGAGCCCCCACACAGAGTCCCCACTGGGGCACTGCCTAGTGGAGCTGAGAGAAGAGGGCCACTGTCTTCTAGACCTCAGAATGGTAGATCCACCAACAGCTTGCACCATGCACCCAGGCTGCAGACACTCAATGCCAGCCATTAAAGCAGCCAGGGTGAGGGGCTGTACCCTGCAAAGCCACAGAGGAAGAGCTGCCCAAGGCCGTTGGAGCCTACTTCTTGCATTGGGGTGACCTGGATGGGAGACATGGATTCAAAGGAGATCATTTTGGAGCTTTAAGATTTAGTGACTGTCCTGTTAGATTTTGGACTTGCATGGGCCTGTAGCACCTTCATTTTGGCCAATTTCTTCCATTTGGAATGGGAGCATTTGTCCAATGCTTGTACCCCCATTATATCTAGGAAGGAAGTAACTTGCTTTTGACTATACAGACTCATAGGCAGAAGTGATTTGCCTTGTCTCAGATGAGACTTTGGATTGTGGACTTTTGAGTTAATGCTGAAATAAGAGTTAAGATTTTGAGGGACTGTTTAGAAGGCATGATTGGTTTTGAAATGTGAAACCTATTTGGGAGGGACTGGTGGCCAAATGATATGGTTTGTCTCTGTGTCCCCACCAATATCTCATCTCAAATTGTAATTCCCATAATCCCCAAGTGTAGAGGAAGGGACCTTGTGGGAGGCGATTGCATCATGGGGCGATTTCCCCCATGCTGTTCTCATGATGGTGAGTGAGTTCTCATGAGATCTGATGGTTTTATAAGGCAGTTTTCCCTGATCTCTCTCACTTGCCACCATGTAAGATGTGCTTCTTTTCCTTCTGCCGTGATTGTAAGTTTCCTGAGGCCTCCCCAGCTATGTGGAACTGTGAGTCAATTAAACTTCTTTTCTTTATAAATTACTCAGTCTTGGGCATTTCTTTTTAGCAGTGTGAGAATGGGCTAATACAATTATATAATTTACTAAAATAGTCATCCATAATTCCCTCTTTAATATTTTAAATAAGTGGGTTTACAGTCACCATCAGTTCTTGTGCTTATTTCTAAGAAATACAATTTCTTATTCTGGACTTGGCAAATAAAGACTGAGTTTTATTCTTGGCTGTGTAATTTATTACCTATGAAGCCTTAATCAAGTCAGGGATCCTCCCTTTATTCAACTATTAAATACTGTATAATTTACAGCAGCTTCCTGACAATTAAATTTATCAAATGTAATACAAATGTAAATTGTTAACTAGATATCTAGAGTCCCAGAATCCTTACTAGAGAGTGACAAGTTACCTAAGGAATGACTTGACTTGGAGTTATGAATGAATTTTCAATGATACATCAGTTTATATTTAAACCAGGTCAGTCACTGGGACTGAATAGGACATTGAGCAAATAATTATTTACTATAATGTACTGTATCATCAGTACGAGGTACAATTACAGAATCAGTACTCAGTGGACTTACCACACATTTACACCATCTTTCCCCTAGCGGCAGGCTCTACATCACACTCCCTGAAACAGATCCTCCAAACCTTCTCATTTGAGCCCCATTTCCTCCTTCCTTTTTTTGAACAATCTGACCTTCTACTTTAATGAGAAGACAAGGTCATCCAAGTTGACCTTCCTTAAAAGTGTTTCCTCTCCATTATACTTCCATTTCTCTATCATCTGAGGTGAATGCTGCAACCTGTTCCCTGACCTTATCTCCTTTCAACTCTCTGGGATATTTCTGTCTTTCCTTCTTATTTTGCACCTTTTATCTTTCCCTCTTTATTGACAGTTTCTCTTCTACTTTAAACATACTTAAGTTTTTCTTTATTTTATAAACAAAACAAAAATTCTTCCTTTATTCCCAAACTATTTCTATTGCATCCCTTTTTTCACAAACTCCTCAATATAATAGTCTCCATGTTCTGGTCTTGCATGTCTAACTCCTCTTTACTGACTTGCTATGCCCTGACACTGTGGTTCCCCCACCACAGAATCCCCTCTTTCATGGATAATAGATGGCCTCTCAGACACAACTTTCTTGTTTGTTTTAGTTTTCATCCTTCTCTACCTCCTCTTCCTCATCCCTATCCATCAGCAGCTTGGGTATGTTTGAAGCTTTTTTTTTTTAAACCCTCCCTTCATGCTTTTCATGATATTTATTTTTCTATATTTCTATAAATAATGTTACTCTTTCTTCAGTGGCTTTTTTCATCTTGTGCCTTCCAAAAAGATTTTTTAAGGGAGTTTATAACCACAGAAGTTGTTGCCCATCAAAGATTAACTGGAGCTTCTATTTCTCGTGGTCACTCATGGGCACAGTCTGACACACAGAGGACGCACCTCAACTCATACTTCTCACATTTCTTCAGCAGGGGCAAGAGAATGTGGTTATTCACAACATGGTGCTTAAAACTTCCACCCAGAAAAGATTCGTATCGCTTCTGTGCTGATTTCACTTATCAAACTAAGTTATATGGTAAAGCCCAACTTCTAAGGGACAAGGAAGTGCAATCCTATTGTATACCCTAAGAAAGGTCACTGAATATGTTCAATCAATAGCCCTAATGACTGCCACACTAATCAAGACAAATGTGCACTCTTGCTTCTGTGGATTTTTTTTTTTCTTTGAGATGGAGCCTCACCCTGTCGCCGAGGCTGGAGTGCAATGGTGTGATCTTGGCTCACTGCAACCTCCACTTCCCGGGTTCAAGTGATTCTCCTGCCTCAACCTCCTGAGTAGCTTGGGATTACAGGCACATGCTACCATGCCCAGCTAAGTTTTTGTATCTTAATAGAGATGGGGTTTCACCATGTTGGCTGGGCTGGTCTCGAACCCCTGACCTCGTGATCCACCCACCTCGGCCTCCCAAAGTGCTGGGATTACAGGCATGAGCCACCATGCCTGGCCACTTCTGTGGATCTTTTTTTAGGCCTCTTATCTCCTGCTCATCAGCTAATTTTTTTCTTTTTCAAATATTGTCTCCATGAAGGTGGCTTTGGGATTTAGATCTGCTGTCCTGTTCTATTGAATGGTCCCTTCTCTAAATTATTACAAGTCTTCTTTAGAATTAAATTGAGAATTATACTATTCTGATAATATAGCAATTATAATTTTTGTCCTTGACTTGTGTCTACTATTATAGATTATGATCTTTGAGCAACTCTGGGCCTAGGTTATCTTTTTTTTTTTTTTTTTTTGAGACGGAGTTTCGCTCTTGTTGCTCAGGCTGGAGTGCCATGGTGCGATCTCAGCTCACCACAACCTCTGTCTCCTGGGTTCAAGCGATTCTTCTGCCTCAGCCTCCCGAGTAGCTGGGATTACAGGCATGTGCCACCATACCCGGCTAATTTTATATTTTTAGTAGAGATGGGGTTTCTCCATGTTGGTCAGGCTGGTCTCGAGCTCCCGACCCCAGGTGATCCGCCCACCTCGGCCTCCCAAGTGCTGGGATTACAGGCATGAGCCATTGTTCCTGGCCTAAGTTATCTTTTTATAGATAACTTGTTCACATTAAATGCTAAGTTTGCTGAAAGTCTACACTTTAAAAGGCACTTTAAGGGCTGGGCGTGGTGGCTTATGCCTGTAATCCCAGGACTTTGGGAGGCCGAGGCAGGCGAATCACTTGAGATCAGGAGTTCAAGACCAGCCTTGCCAACATGGTGAAACCCTGTCTCTACTGAAAATACAAAAATTATCTGGGTGTGGTAGTGCATGCCTGTACTCCCAGCTACTAAGGAGGCTGAGGTAGGAGAATTGCTTGGACCCGGGTGAGGTGGAGGTTGCAGTGAGCCAAGATCATGCCACTGCACTCCAGCCTGGGCGACAGACAGAGTGAGACTCCATCTCAAAAAAAAAAAAAAAAAAAAAAAGAAAAAAGCATGGCACTTTACTACATATTATATAGTAAATACTCAAAAACCTTGCTGAATTAAATTGAGTGTATTGTGAATCCGTTTAAAAAATTAAAGATATATATCCAGAGATAAAACAAAGTTTTTCAAATAAAATATTTATATGTGTTTTATTTTCATATTCTATAATGAATTAGAGTGACCAGGAAGATGCAAGAAGAAATAAGCATACTAGGCTTAGTGAACTTTTATTTTTACCAAAGTGGCCCAAAGATGTTGTGAAATATACCAGAGCTGATATGGATTGGCTGGAACTTTATTGCTTCTACTTTAAGTCCTATCCTCCATAACTGATCTTAACACCTTCTTACTAAAGTCACTTCTTGAAGGAATGGAGAAAGCAAAAGGAAGTGAAATTCAGCATTATACTTGATTTGCTGTCCTTTTTAGCATATGTATGGCTATTTTTTGCATATCTCATTCTATAATCACCTCCAACCTACTGCTTCTCTTCCTTTGGTCTCACCCCCCAGAAAAGCAGTAAGACTATATTGTATTATGTACTATAAATAGTGATAATACACAGTAATAAACATATTTCAGGCTCAGTTGAAATTGACAAAAATATCAACTTATAGTGAGCTTTTATAACCACCTCAAGTTGATTGTGGAATGAAGTGGGACTAAAGTAAGTCAAATAAAGCTCTTAGGTATATAAATACACACACTATGGAGTGTACTCTGAGCTGTGCCTCAGTGAAACTGGGTATATGGATCAAATCATTTAAAAAATCTGAACAAAAAGATTAAGATAAAAGAATCAGAATCAAGGGTGGCATAAGTAGAGATGCCTCAATGAGAATGTGAAGTATGATTGGGTATCACAGGAGACAGAATTCAGTACACAGAATACACAGAATAGAAACTGGTTCAAGAAGACGCTTAAGCTGAGCTGAAAGAAGGTTGGGGGATAGTTGTTTGACCCTTGAAAATAAAAATAACAATTAATTTATTCCTCACTATTTAGAGCCATGCACTAAATGATTAGCCTTATAAACAACAGAAATTTATTTCTCATAGTTCTGGAGGTTGGGAAGTCCTAAATCAAAGCACAGGCAGATTCAGTGTCTAGTGAGAGACTGCTTCCTGCTTCATAGACATTTGTCTTCTCCATGTGTCCTCGTATGGCTAAAGGGGTGAGGGAGCTCTCCAGAGTCACCTTTACAAAGATATTAATCTCATTTGTGAGGGTTCCAACCACATGACCTAATCATTTCCCAAGGGCCCTCCCTGCAACAGATACCATCACATTGGGGATTAGATCTCAACATATAAATTTTGGGGTGACACAAATAGTCTACAGTACTATCTCTCTCTCTTAACATCTTATTGACTCCACCTATGGGTAATTTGTTATAAAAAAATCTTACCACTGTTACTAAAATTCACCAAATTCCTCCAGTTTGTGAAGAAAATCCTTAGATATGACTGACACAAACTTTGCTAAGTTACAATAACTTCCTTTAGCAATGGTTTGCCATAAAAAACACTTTTTGGGGGGAGGATTGAGGGAATAATTTATTCAGTAAAATGATTGGTTATTTAGTTAACCTGGCTAATTTATATCTTGTCTATATTTAATAATAATAGTTCTTTTCCAATTATTTATTAGGTAAGGTTTATAACCTATGTCATTTCACATCTATTTCTCTGTTACCTCAAACTTGGTTTCTCTATTCTTTATGTTAAAATTAGTAGTATTTTAGTCAGTACAACATTTCTAGTTTTGACATGCAAAGCAGTGTGAATATCTTTTAAAACAAGACCAGAGTGATTCAGATTGAACAGAAAGGAGAAATTTGATTATATTTTCCATGAAATAAGTTCTGCAACCATCATTCCTCACTGATTGGATGGCTCCTTATTCAGCAGAATCTTTTATAGATTAACATGAATTTCGCTGTAAGATTACCATAATTCCCAGTTACAAAATTGAGTTCAAAATTTGCATTTTTTTTTTTTGCGGTTTCTTTAGCTAGACTTTTGAATAGTTGGCCATCCCAAAAACGTTCAGTTCTTTGATGTACAAACAGCTGTGAAATGTAATTTATCCTTTCCCTTACAATTAAAAAAATTTAAAGCAAAATAGAATTGATTTAACTGTGAATGGTTGACCTTTGTTTACTAGTCAATAACGAAAGTATCTGAAAATACACCACTTCCACCTTTTGTTTATTTCCAAAAAGATGCACCTAATGTCTATCTGTGCTATCGTGGGTTGGTGAAGGTGATTTATGTGTGAGTCAAACAAAAAGCTATCAGAATTGCTAACATAGAATGTGCCTGTTCTAAGTAGTCAAAATTAACACAGTCATATGATCCATTCCTGGACTCTTGATCATTCAATCAAAAGGAGAAATTTAAGTATCTCTGGTCATCCTGAATTTTTTTTTTAAAAGAATACCGTTAAACATCCTTTTCTCTTCTGACTTTTTATTTTGTATTTCAGCCAGCGTTTGACTTGCAGTAAGACAGTGAAGAAGAGTGATTTCTTGTTACTACATTGTGCATGGAAACTCAGTTTTTCTTTTGCATGCAAATGGGAAGTAAATCAGTTTGTGTCACTTAGAGTGAGAAAACTATTCAAACAACACTGTCAATACCACACAATACTTTTCAATTCCATTAATTCTTCATGTCACTTTGGATAATAAGTTATTATAGGATGGTCTTGAAATAAAGTGATCTGTGTACCTCATTTCTTTACTTTGTCCTGTGGAAGACTTGGAAATGGTGGCTCTGTGAATTAGATTTGTCCTGATCTCAAAGTCATCACATTGCTATATGAGGTGTATGATAATAACATTTTGTCCCATTCTAAACTATTAGTTTAATACTGTATTAACAAAAATAGTTTGTTTTCAGTATTGAAATTATAATTCAAAGGTATTTTGCATCTGGGGTTGTAATTTTAATAGCTATCTATATTTTCCAATGAAGAAGCAAAGAGATGGATTCCTTTATTAAAAAAAAACAAAAAAATCTTGCCTTCAGGTAGATTGTCTTCAGGCCCTCTCCCTACTCTATCTATACCTCGTGGGGGTATTGTAAGTCTGTGCTAAACTCTACCACTAGCCATTCTATGTGTTTTAAGAAATAATTGTCTTTTCAACCACATTCAAATAAACATTTTGGTACTCTGTAAAACCTGATTCTGATTATGTAGCATGCAAAATTCAAGGGATCAAATCACTAGCAATTTGCTTCCCCAAGTTGCTTTCTTAAATCAGCTTTTAAATAGATTTATGTTGCCTGTGGATATAAAGCAGTGGAGTAAAACTAAACCTTCCTGATTTCCAAATCAGCATTTAAAGAGCTATAATTCATATTTAATGAAGAAAAACAGCTAAATAAGCATCCACAGCATTTAAATAGAGACTTTTTGCTCATGAAGTTTTTATCCTTCACTAAAAGCCCCTTTACCATATCTTTTTATTATACTTTGACGCAAAATGCTAAAACGAAGTTGGATATTGTTAAATTGCTATTAAATTATAAGAGAACAAATATTAAGAATAAATTTCAGCTCAGTTAACAAAGACAAGCTTGGCAATTTTCCTAACTTGTGCTCAACATTTTAGTTTTCAAACAGAGAAAATGTTTTATTGCCAACAGAACATGAAACAATATTGAGACCAGATGTCTTTGACCTTCTGTGTAAGAAAAAAAGCACTTTCTATTTCATGGCTAGGCATCCTGTTTATATATGGCTATATTGTGGCAAAAACCGACTTTGTTTTACCTGTGAAATTGGGTTTGACTATTTTTCCTGAAATAAAGATGGGCTGTTGAGATCTGCTTGCCTGAAAGCAAAGTAATATAAAATTGATAGCATAATGCGTGTGTATCTGGGGCCTCATCGCTGCTCAAGTATACACGCCTTGAATCTCCATCATCAAAAAACATCTCATATCTATGTCAAAGCCAACAGCAGGTCCAACTGAAATAGCAGAATACACTGTGTGTGCACTAGCTGATTTCCTCAGAAATTTTTTTCATTGGTTATGGGTCTCAATTTTGCTTCATATTTGGTCTTATTTTTTATGCCTGACCAGTATTGGGGAAGAATGATGAGCTATGTCTAGAGAGTGTGAAGTATTAAGAATATTACTGTAAATAGACACAATTTTCAGCACATGTATTTGGCTATCATTTCTAACTACATTTACAAAGAGACCATCTTTTCTTCCAGGAATGACTGTCTTTCACATTTCATTATTCTAGGCAAAGAAAATATTATCATTGGCCTCAAACAAATCCACTCAGTTGTCTAATCAGCTTTAATCTCAAAAACAGTCCTACTATAATATTAAAGGCATTTATTGAGCTTTTACTTATATATCCAACTGTTTATTAAGCTCTTGCTTGTGGAAATTTGGAAATTTAATCTAATCTCTTATAAGAACAGGAATAAAAGGCTTAAGTGTTTGTTTGTATTTCTGTCTTCTGAAATATACTTGCTTTTCCATAGAGGGTGTCAGTATCCATAGCAGTACTTTCCTTTCTGTCAGAAGTTTTGATCAGGGCCAAAAGACTAGCTTGTCCTGAAGATACGAATCTCTGTAGACTTGGGAATAAAATTTAAACTGACTACTAACTCAATGTCTCATGTAAAAGAAGGATGATTGTGAATTTCTTTGGGATTGAATGGAGGGTCCTATTGATCTCTGAGATGAAATATAAGTGGTACCCAATGGACTGCCTATTTTAATGCAGCAGAGCAAATTCAATGAATTCCCTGATTCTCTAGGGCCCTGTAGAAAACTACCCAGAGCATGGTTTTAATGGAGAAATGGCACAAGGAAATTAAGTACAGGGCCTCGTAGTACTCATCAATTAAGGCCATGACATCTGAATCATTGCCTCAGAATTACACAGGGCCTTGATAGAATTTAAGAGTGGAGTGGGGTCTGGTATTCAGGCCAACAGTTGTTTGTGTAGAATGATTCATCCTGCGTCTGAAGGACATCTACATCTATTGTCCTGTTTACTGGTTTATGAAGGTGAAAGAATCCTGTGAATGTCAGAATTTTTAATAGAAATTATTCATATACTCTCCCACTGTTGAAAACATACGCAGCACACTTTAGATGACAATTAGCTTTGGGCAGTTGGCTTCAGTGTGTCAGCCTAACATTTGTGGGTTTACCTTCCATCTACATAGTGCTCATCATTAGCTTGAGGTGGATCTTTCGTATAAATGGGAAGAGTACAATTCTGATAATCCAACACATAAGTGCATTAATTTGGCATAGCATTCCCATAAAAACATTAAAAAAGTTGCAAATGGAGTAGAATACACATATGTATATGTATCTCTGGCTTTGATACTCCTCAAGTGATGAGTGATGATATATGCTATATATGCCTTGAATCTGATTATGAAAACTATACATGTTCATTATAGAAATTTAGAATTTGCAAGGAAAGTATAAAGTAAAAACTGTCTATGCACTAAATTACCTTTATATGTCAGAAATATATGTAATATATACATTTATATCAATAAGTACATATATAACATTTAAATCATATGTACATATATGTAATATACATTTATATCACAATATGTGCATATAAATAACATATTTATATCACAGTATGTATACATGTATATATTTATATCACAACATGTACATATACAAAATTCTGATTTTTCTTTAATTTTTATGTTTTACATGTTAATAAATACTAATACATACTACCATTTTAATTGCTTCATAGCATTCTATATTGATGTAACATTATTTAATCAGTTAATCATAGACATTTAGATTGTTTCCAAATTTGCAGCATAATAAATCTATAATTTGAATAAACCTTTGTAGAAATCATTTTACAATCTCCACTGTTTTTTCAGAATAACTTTTGAGTAGAAGTATTAAAATAGCTGAGCTGTTCATTATAATAATTCCTATGTGTATTGCCAACCTGCCTTCTAGAAAATCATACCAATTTTCATTCCCACAAACATTATGTAAGAATTCCTATTATCTCATTCTATAACCAATACTAAGAATTCTTATTTTAAAAAAATTCGTAACACAGGAACAGAAAACCAAACTCCACATATTCTTATTCATAAGTGGCAGTTGTACCAATAGAATGCATGGACAAAGGGAGGGGAACATCACACACTGGGGCCTGTCAGGGGTGGGGGGCAAGGGGAGGGAGAGCATTAGGACACATAGCTAATGCATGCGGGGCTTAAAACCTGGATGACAGGTTGATGGCTGCAACAAAGCACCATGGCATGTGTATACCTATGTAACAAACTGCATGTTCTGCACATGTATCCCGGAACTTAAAGTATAATTAAAAAAAATTCTTCACCAATTAATAGACAAAAAGGCATTTTACTTTAAAATGTGTGTTTTCAATTAAACTGTTGAATGTTTTTCACATGTTTATCAGCAATTTATGCATCTTATTTAGTGCACTATCTGATTCTGTCATCTACCGAAGTCTTTCCTACAGAATGTTTGCTTTATTCTTATTAATTTTATGACCTCTTTACATATTAATATCAACACTTTTTTTTGATCTTATGTGTTAAAACTTTTTTCCCCCTCAGTTGATGGTTTGGAAGAGGCATTTTCCAGTGGATTTTTGATTCTATGGTTTACTTTTGGTAGTCCAGTGGGTAGGCACACTGACTCAGCACTTGGGAGAAGGAAGTCAAAGAATGTGCTGGACATTAAAGAAGAGTAGACTGAAGAGAGGTGATAGCAGACTGCAGTTCATGTTTTTATATTGCAAACTCATATATGGAAGCAAGGAGTTGACTGTAGATTCTTACATAACCATTTGAGAGCCATTAAGAATCTTTTCCTACAAGCACTAACTTGTGGTGGGACAGATTAACAGGCAAGTGATAGGTCAGGTTAAGATGAATAAGCCATTCTATGTGATTGAGGTGATAATTAGAGAGGTACATTAACTCTCATGGTCATTAAGCCCCCACATGACACACTGCAGTTTAATTTACTGGTGACCTTTAAGAGCTGGTAAACTTGCAAATGTAATTTTTCAGAGAGATGTATTCAAAGGAAGCCACCTAATGGGGCTTGGGGTGAGTCTGTGGTCTGTAATACACTATCTTATTGGATCCCATATCCTGGGCTGACATCATTAATTACAGATTACTGAAGATGGTGCCTTTGGCCACCAAAATCATCTGTCTGTCTGGTATTGTTAAGGAGTTGTTTTTCTCCAGGGTTACCCTGACTCTAGCCCGAAAAAACCTTGCCCCCTCCTGGGAGCCATGTTTATTTACTTTAACTGCCTGATCTATTATTCCAAGGACTTTAGAACCATTAGGGAGATGGATATTGCATGTTCTTCCATGGCAAGGAAATTAATTTTAATCAAGAGAATGTCACTTTTTATTCCATGCATTGAAGACTGCAATGTTGAAGTGACTTCACTGACAGCTTTCACAAGCCCATCATTTAAGATAATGGATAAAATGGAACATTTTACTGAAGAAAGGTACATTTCTTAGCATGGCATCGCTACGCTTACATCACTCTTGCTAAGAATACAAAAGTATAATAAAAGAGTGATAGATTAACAGATATATTGCGATATTTTTATGGTAACTCTTCAGTAATTTTAATTGCGTCTCTCTTCTTCCTTATTATGGGAGATTCTTTTTTTGATTATAGCATGCAACCCAGAAGAAACATCCTCAGTAAAGTATGAATTCTATAATGATGTTGTGAGGATTGAAAATGATAAAACTTGGGAAAGGGCTTTGAAAAAACTATAAAGCACTTTATAAATCCTAGGTACAAAGATGATTATTTATAGGCAAAATGCAACATCTTGGCCTTTACTCCCAACTTTCGAAGAGATCATGACCTCTAATAGAGACAGAAGGAATAATAACACTGATAAGGGTGAAGATGAGGAATAAAAACCATAAGACAGTAGAATAATGTCTGCTAAAATCATTGAACATAGAGGAGGAGAAATTCTGGGGGGTGAGAAAGGGCAGTGAGGTTGCTCTGTTTTTGCTTAGACATCTGTATAGATCCTTAATCACTACATGGAGCCAAGAAGTGCAATAAGTTTTTAATGTTGCCCCATTTATCATGCTTTTCCTTCATTCTGTTGAGTCAGCATGATGCACACGAAATAGCCTGCATTGCAAGGCAAGAGAATTGTGTGTCAGTCCCAGCCACAGCACCGACTAGATTAGTGACACTGGGAAATTTACTTGTCTCATTAGTTTCTCCATCTAAAAGCGGGTGTTTGAGGAGATTATCATTTTCTAAGGTGTGGTATGTACATACACAGTGGTGACAGTTAAGATTATTTTAGGTGGCGTATGCAACCTATTAGTTATTATGCATTTATTTCAATGCATATTCAAAAAAATAATGCATATAATTTTCTAGATGTTAATGCTAAGTAAAAAAGTGAAAAATGAAATGTTTAGCAAATAATAGTACTGACGGGATGCAGATATGGCAAGAATCATGAAGGAAAGGCATTTAGGAAATACTGGGCTAGCTTGTCTAATTTTACATTGAGCTCTAACATTTAAGGCATACAATTTCTTAATTGAGAATAGAAGTTCAATGGCAACTTTTGGAATGATATCTCTCTGTTCATTTCTATACATTTCTGGATCACATTAGGCCAGTTAGGCTCCTCTATGTGGGCATCAATCACTCCAGAAGTTGTAATATGATTTTAGACTACAATAAGTATAATGGGCATGATTATTAATACACATCAGATTCATGGCAAGCAAAAAGGGAGGAACTGGACCTGGTGATAGACTGGAGTGGGAACACACTTCAAATGTACAGGCTGGTTCAGGGACTGCTGACCTCTGGTCACTTTTTGCACATCCTGCCTTGCATTATCTCTGCAGACAAGGCTGCTTTGTATACTGTGTGATTTTCCCCATCCAGCGGGTTCTAAAGAGCCGTTCCATTCTGGAAAAGGGAATAGAAAAAGCCACCTGAGGACTCTTCCTTTGCCTTCTTGTGCCATTTTATTAATTTTAGATGATCTCTACCCACAGGAGAGGATTCTCAAACCTTTTTGGGTACGCTTATAGGAAAATTTTAACTAACCATGGAAACTGCTTCAGAATATCCTGTGCATCTGATTGTATTGCTTTGTTATTCAGTGATGAGAAAACAATGATACTGCATTGCCTCCTGCTGAAACTGTGAAAGAAATGAGAAGTGACACCAACTGTGTTGCAGTCTGTTTATCAATACTAATCAGGTGTTTTATATAATTCTTATCAAAAATAACAAAGCTACTTATATCCCATAGGTATTTATTTTTGGGAAATAGAGTTATAATTGAACAATTTCTTGTTTGTTTTGCTGTTTCTATTGGATCTATCAGGCCCATTAGCAGCAATTAATGCTGTAGGTTCTAGAATTCCAATGCCCTTTTAATGTTCCTTGAATTAAACATAGACAGAACAAAATGTGACAGGAAATATGAGTTTTCTGAGGATTAGAGCAGCTTTTGCCGAATCTGTCAGTGACCTCTGGTTGGGTTAGTGGTAAGAGGTTTGTTGCATTACAGAGTGGCTCAGGTTATCTTACTGCTTATGAATAGTGTGATAACCTGCTAAGAATAAAGTAGCATTAGTCATATTATCTGGTTTGGGGAAAGAATAGCAATTCTGGATCAGATTAGGCTAGTTCGGCTCCTCTACTGTTTCTGCTGTCAAGGGAAGCTCCTTCATAATTGACATGTTCAGCTCACTGCCTTTACGTATTTGGTACCTACTCATGTTGGAGAGACAGTGTAGGGTGTTGGTTAAGATTCCAAAGAGTCAAATTTTACCTGCCTTCAAATTTTGGCTCTACTACTTGCACTTAGCCTGGGTTAAACATATTCCTTGTGTCTGCTTCTTCACTTGTAAGATGGGGCTAACAAGAGTATCTAACATGGCCAGGCACGGTGGCTCACACCTGTAATCCCAGCACTTTGGGAGGCTGAGGCAGGCGGATCATGAGGTCAGGAGCTCGAGACCAGCCTGACCAACATGGTGAAACCTGTCTCTACTAAAAATACAAAAAATAGCTGGGCGTGGTAGTGCATGGCTATAATCCTAGCTACTCAGGAGGCTGAGGCAGGAAAATCGATTGAACCTGGGAGGCGGAGGTTGCAGTGAGCCGAGATCCCGCCACTGCACTCCAGCCTGGGCGACAGAGTGGGACTCCGCCTCAAAAAACAAAAAAACAAAAAAGGAGTATCTAACACATAGGCTTACTGAGAAAATCAAATGAAGTATCAGATTCTTCTTATGTACCACTTTGAATCCTTAACTCAATTTCTTACTTCTATCTTTGGGCAGGTTCTGTTCTGATAACCTTTACTTCCTGATTGGGGGTTTCTCTGAGCCTCAGACATGTAGAACCCACGGAACTTACTTGACGCTTATAACTGCACAATCTGGGATTATGACTTGACATACATAAGATATTGTTGAACAATATGGGATTATAGCCATGGATAAATGCCTTCCAAATTATCTTTTGGGCAAATAGTTTTGAGTTACATTCCATAAGACACTTCAGAGGGTACTGCAGGGTGTAGTGGCCAACTTAGTAGCACTTGTTACTAAATAAGGAAAAGCTAAAAGCTTGTATTAGCTTTTCCTTATTTTTCTTTTTTGCTTTCTCTGCCCTTCACGCTGTATCTCCATGGTAAAGTTTCTAGATAAGTTACCTGCATATGATTCTTTGCCTCAGTATCTGATTTCAGGGGGAGCTCAGATAGTTAGTGCCAGGAGTGACCATAAAAACAGATAATGGGCTCCTGAAGTTGGATTGCTTGGTCATAGTTACAAAGGATCTCCCAATGCTGTTTTGAGATGAGGGCCACGTAGAAGGTGATGTTTTGGGTTACATGGTAACTATGGGACTTCAATAGTCTGAGGGTAACGGTAATTACAAGAATTGTGGAGTTCACTGGCTTTTGTTAACTGCTGTCTGGAAGTCTTGAAAAAAGAAATGACAGATTTAGATCAGCTAATTACCAAATCAA
This sequence comes from Homo sapiens, assembly GCF_000001405.40. Taxonomy (NCBI): domain Eukaryota; kingdom Metazoa; phylum Chordata; class Mammalia; order Primates; family Hominidae; genus Homo; species Homo sapiens. Next base: position 118,307,702 of record NC_000005.10, on the reverse strand, counting down.
GGTCAGTTCTGAAAGCTAGAGGTCTTCCATGAGAGAATTAAAGAGATTATTATTGCTTAAGGTACATGACATTTTAGGTTGAAAACCAAGTTGAAGATCTATTAGTAAGAATAGCAGAGGTGAAAAAGAGACTTAATTCACAGACTCCCACATTTCCTGTGTAAAGTTATGGTCCTAATAAGAAAATATGACCCTGAGGCATGGAGTGGAAAAAGCTGGGCAAATACACGTAAGAATCTTGAAAGATGAAATACTTCTGAATACTCTTGGGTTGGAGATGTAGCCTTCTCATTTAACAGACAAGAAAAGCCTCAATTTCTCTGGAGATCCTGTAAAACCCATGCATGGGGTAGGTGTCTTGAAATTTATTACTCATCCTCATACTAATTCCCTGCCACACATCTTTGCTTCCAAAGGAGTTACGAGAGTTGAGACTCAGTGGAGCCTGAGCAAGAAATTGCAGTTTCTGCTCAGGAAGAAATTAGCTTACACACTGAAGGAAATTAAGGATCTAGCTCATATGTACCATTAACAAATGGGAAAACTTGTATGAGAATAGATCTTGAGGGTGTTGTATTGTGGGCTGCAAAATATAAGGCTGAATTGTGGAGAATTCATTAATATGAGAGCACTAACCCACGTCTTGGAATTCAGCGTCTTACTAAGATAAGCTGTTGGATGGCTCCTTGAAGCTTGGACATGATATAATGTCTCTGGCAACTACCAGTAGAGGAGTCCCAGCACAGGTAATCAGCATTCTAGACCAAAGCCACAGCTTCTGAAGTGGTGACTTACTTTCTGTTTGAAATAGAGTTCTTAGGAGACTAACAGGCTTTAGTGAAATTGAACACCTGACCATGGGAAAAGTGGCCACATAGGGAGAGCTTCTCTCATGAGCTAAACATTATCAGTTGTGCTAAATCATAAGGTTGGGCAGATATAGCTTCAACCATTTGTGAGAAGGAAATAATATATTTGTAATTGGGCCAAGCAGGCCCAGTAGGCACAATAAATTGCATGGGCCTTTGGTGTAAACTCCCATGCACGTATGTCTCACTCAGCTCACAACTCATAATAGAGATTTTCCTAGAATCAGCTGACAGAAGAGAAAAATCCTGGGCTTGGGTCACAGATAAGTTGTCTCAGTATGGTTTATGCTTGCCTGAAATTGACTGCTACTACACTGCTCCCCAGTCAAGGGTAGCACTAAGGGTGTTGTGAAAGGAAATCATCCCACTGTGCAAAAATGGCATTTGGTCGTTATGTTTGTATAGATGAAGAAATTTCCTAATGTAGAATTTTACATGGCCCCGTGAACAGTGGGAAATGGCTTAGCTAGTCGGTCTGGAGATTGGAGGGAACAAGGCAGGATGATCTGAGAAAAATAGGTCCGTGGAAGAGAGCAAGGATGGACCAAGCAAGATGGTACAAACTGTAAAGATCTTTGTGTCTTAGAACAGAGACTGTTCACGGTGGAGGAGATGTTAAACACTTAAATGGATTGGATCTCATTCTGTAGATGTCAACCATTCTCTGTCATTGGGCACTCTATGCTGGCACAACACAGCCAGGAATGGAGTGGCCATAGTGACAGGGTTAGGGCACAACGCTATGAACTCTCTCTCACTAAGGCTGATCTAGATCCTAGTACTGTTCAACAATCTCTCTGCCAGGAGCACGAATCGATGTTAAGCCCTGGACTTAGCACCATTCTTCAAGAAGACTGCCAACCACTTGGGAGTAGGTTAACTAAATGCAACCTTTATAAGGAGGTATGACAACAGGCAAAGGACAATAGGATTTATGAGTTTTACCATATGCCTCATCTTCCTGAAGCAGCCAGCCCAGTAGAATGTTAGAATGGCTGATTAAAAGGTTAGCTTAGGCACAGACTCAGGGACAAAACCACCTAGCCTTGGGAGACCACCCCCTAGAATGAGGCATGAATGCTGAGCCAATAATCAATGGTGTATTAGAAATTTAAATAAGATGTGTAGTCAGTGAAAGACTTGAGTCCTGGATGTCTCACCAGCGTTGTTTAGGAAGGTCAACTATCTTCACCTTCCTTGCCTGCAGATCAAAATTCTTTCTATTGTAAAATGTAATCATTCATTAATGAAGCTATTCTTAAAAATTTAGTGTTTTTGATTATCAACTTTGTGAAAGGAGAAATAAGCAATAACGTCTTATTCCTGAAGAAATTTCTTTTGACATACAAAAGAAAGTAAAACATTTTGTAGAATTTAAACCACACTGAAAGACATAAAATGGAAAAGAAAAAAATATTTCCTTCTTAACCCAATCCTTTTCCTAAAAGGCAATCCCTTAACAGTGTCTAACAGCTTGTGCATTTTCTATCAGAAAAATTATGCATATCAATATTCCCAGTGGTGTATGTGTCTTTTAAGAAAAAATTTAATAAGGAAACAGTTATACCACATACTGTTCTGTATCTTGCCCTTTTCGTCTATTGTATCTAGGAGATATTACTATGTCAGTGAGTTTATTTTCACAAAACTGCATAATATTTTATTGCATGTTATATCATAATTTATTAAGTCTCTTCCTACGAATAGACATTTAGGCTATTTTGTGTGTGGTTTTTTTCAATTCTACAATCAGCATCCTTATACAAATATATTAATTTGTAATTTTTAAATCAAAGAGTATGCAAATTTTAAAATTTGGTAGGTATTGACTAATTGCCTATCCAACAAGTTTTCATCAGTTTATCTTTTTAAATTGTCTCTTCAACCACACCATTGCCAGTATAGGGATACGAAGAAAAAAAGGATGTCATTTTGACCAGTATATGCTTACTGGATATTTCTTACTGGCCTTTCTTCCTCCCCTCTTCCCCTCCTTCCCTCCTTCCTCCTTCCATCTCTCCTTCCCTCCCTCTCTTCCTTCCTGGCATCCTTCTGTCCTTTGAAGTTAAACAGTCTGTTAATACATAGTCTTTGCACACTGACATTTGGCAGGTCATTCTTTTATTAAGTTAAATAAGTTGTATAAATTTGAAAAACTATCTTTTATTATTTATATGTGCTATAAATATTTTGGCCCTAACTGACCCATTTTCTAAGTTTGTTCATGGCATTTTTGCTGCATTAAAAAAAAAAAACTTTAGTGACGGATAATTGATGTATAATAAACTGCCCATATTTAAAATATACAATTTGCTAAGTTTTGGCATATCTGGACATCCATGAAACTATCACCACAGTAAAGATAACAAACACTTTCACCACCTCCAAAAGTTTCCTCATGACCCTCAGTAATCTCTCCCTTTATTCACCCCTGTCCCCAGATAGTCACTGATAGACTTTCTATCACTATAGATCAGATGATATGTGTATTAGTCCATTCCCACACTGCTAATAAAGACATACTTGAGACTGGGTAGTTTATAAAGGAAAGAGGTTTAATTGACTCACAGTTCCACAGGGCTGGGGAGGCCTCAGGAAACTTAAAATCATGGTGGAAGGGGAAGCAAACATGTCCTTTTTCACATGATGGCTGGGAGAAGTACCGAGCAAGAGGGGGAAAAGCCCCTTGTAAGACCATCAGATCTCATGGAACTCACTCACTATCATGAGAATAGCATGTGGGTAACCGCTCCCACGATTAAATTACCTCCCACTGGGTTGTTCCCATGATACGTGGGGATTGTGGGAAGTATAATTCAAGGTGAGATTTGGGTGGGGACAGAGCTAAACCATATCAATATGTTCTAGTGGAATCATACTCTATGTACTGTTTTGTGTCTGACTTTTTTCATTCAGTGTAATAGTTTTGAGCTTCATCCTTATGGAACATATCAATAGATGTATTGATTGTATATAGTATTGTACTATATAGATATGCCATAATTTGTTTATCCATTTACCTATTGATGAACATTTGGGTTGTTTCCAGTTTTTAGCTATTTCACATAAAACTGCTGTAAACATTCTCATGAAAGTCTTTGCGTAAACAAGTGTTTTCATTTATCCCGGGAAAATACCTCAAAATGAGTATTTGACTAGATCATATATTAGGTTTATGTTTGACATTTTATGACAGTATCAAACAGTTTTCAAAAGTCTAGGAAATACCAATCTGAATTTTCATCAGCAGTGTACGAGAGTTGTAGCTGCTTCACATCTCACCAACACTCGATATGGACAGTCTTTTTAGTTTAGCCATTCTAACAAATATGTAGAGGTTATCTCATTGCAGTTTTAATTTGCATTTTTCTGTGATGACAAGTAACATTGAACATCCTTTCATGTGCTTATTGACCAATCATATATCATCTCTGGTAAAATATCTGTCCAAATATTTTAAAAATTATTTTTTCTTTTAGTGAGTTTTAAGCATACTTTACATATTCTGAATACAAGTGATTTGTTTTACATATTTGTTGTAAATATTTTCTCCAAGTCTGTGGCTTCCCTTTCTTAGTGGGGTTTTTTGATGACCAAAAATTTGTAAATTTTGATGAAATGCATACTATAACTTTTTAAAATGTTTTATGCTTTCTGTGTTCTGCTAAGAATTGTTTTTCCCAATGGCACAAAGATTTTGTTTCTAGAAATTTTGTAGTTTGGATTTTATATATGTATTCTATATATCTATGTCTATACATTTCTAGGTTCCATTTCAGGTTAATATTTTTAATATGATATTAGACAAGCATTGATGCTCATTTTTCTTCTCTCAGGTATTTAGTTGATTCAGCATAATTTGCTAAAAGACTTTCATTTTCCTATTGACCTACCTTGACACCTTTATCAAGAATCCATTGAACATGAAAGTGTGGGCTTAATTCTGGATGCTACTCCAATGATCTAACTATTTAGCCGTTTGCTAATACCAACTATCTTGATTACTATAGCTTATACTGAGTCTTGAAATCAGGTAGGATAAATCCTCCAACTTTGTTCTTGTTTTTAAAAAATCACTTAGGTTATTCCAAGATCTTCTGCATTCCTATATAAATTTTAGAATCAGTTGTAAATTTCTATAAAAAGTCTTTGGAATGTTGATGAGATTGGCTACATTTTTTAAAAATTTTATTATTATACTTTAAGTTTTAGGGTACATGTGCACAATGTGCAGGTTTGTTACATATGTATACATGTGCCATGTTGGTGTGCTGTACCCATTAACTCATCATTTAGCATTAGGTATATCTCCTAATGCTATCCCTCCTTATGTTGGCAACTTTGCTTTTTTTTATTATTGCATTGTATGATATGTACCCCTTATCATTGATGAAAAAAAATCCTCTCTTCTCCTTTTGAGTTGAAATGCATTATCAATTGAGTTCTTGTAGGTACTTATCTCCCTCCACATCTGGGAAAGTTCTGGTCCCCAAATCTTTGAATGTTTGAAAATACTATGTAATTTATAATAACCATTTTTTATATGATGGAATACTTAAAATTAATTTTTGACTTATTACATTGCATTTTGCTTGACAGATGTACTAGTGTTTCACACATGTACTAGTTTGAGTATTAAGACTTCATTGCTATTCAGCAAATAATTTTCTTTTTCTTACATATAGATACACCTTGTGATTTATGCACTGATGTGGTACAGCCTTTGTTACATCACAGGCACAAGTAATGGCTAGTAGTTCCCTTTGTATCAATATAATCCCTTTATATCAATATTGCCTGTATTGGTACCAATGGAGTGTAGGAAAGCATTTTAGATAATTCCTGAAATTATGTTACTTGACACCCAAGCCACCTACCAAGACTAAGATTTACAGTAGGATAAAGAAAATCATTGTGTAAAGGTCATGCGTCATATAGTCAGGTGCAGATCAGGCTGTATACCACAGCCTGATCGTAAATGAATCACACGTAGTGTTTTTAGTTAATTAATGTTTGCTGAAAGGCTAAGGAATGTTTTATGTGGTAGTTTCACTTAGAATATTTGGATATTAGTGCTAAAAGGGAAAAGGACATTATAATTTCTAAGCTTCTATAGTTGTAGGCACCATGCCAGGTACTTTAGCGGCATACTTCATTTAATCTTTACAACAAATCTATAAAATGGCAATATTAGCAACATTTTACAGACAAGTTACAGGCTAAAAGATGCACAGTAAGAAAAATGCCCAAGGTCTCAACGAGATTTTAGCTTGGACTAGAATCTGCACCTCCATACTCTATTAGTATTCTAGCTGCCTTAGAGGACATCTAGAACAACCTATTTTTATTACTATAAAGGAATGAGCTCGGGGGAGTTGTTTCTTGCACAATTTTGTGGAGCAAATTCATGGCAGATACAGGAGAGAAACTCATTTTTTTTGTTCTTAGTTCCTTATATTTTCACATTGTCTATTTTGCCTAGGCTATTATGGCATAGACTCACTGCCTGATTTTGAACCAAGCTTCATTTACTGGATATGTGATTTTGGAAATACATAAAATAGAGATATAAGCAGAATCTACCTCTTTGTGATCCTGGAACTAAGTATATGTAAAAAGCTTGTACACATAGTAAGGGCTCAGTAATAAACAAATTATAGCACTGATGGCAAGCCTATGATCACATTCTACTCCCTCACTTATCAATCATCACTGGAATGAATCAGCTCTCACTCTTTAATACACCAGTATGAATTCACTTTATTGAAATTTTCATGAAATATTTTTATACTTTACCTCTTATTTATCATTCTATCAATTTGCAAGATAAAATGAGAAGATTAAAGTGAGAAGCATTATTTAGAACCTGAATTAATAAAAAGGGAGTATAGGTAAGCATTTTAGAGAACTCCTGAAATCATGTTACTTGACACAAAGCCAACTACCAAGTCTAAGGTTTACAGCAGGATAAAGAAAATCATTGTGTAAAGGTCATGCCTCATATAGACAGGTGCAGATATACTTAGAGTCACATACTTACAACTGCATAGAGAATGGCAAAATAGTAAGTTACTATGGGATACTAGCGCAGAGTCTAGGAGAATTCATGTATAAAGCAGTAGTACTAGAAGAAAACAGATGTTACTGTTCATATGTGTATAAGGATAAGAGCCAATCTGCTCCATATTCTTAGGAAACTTAGAAAATACTCTAAGCTGAGGTTTAGAGGAACTGCTTTTGAATCTTGACCTTGATGCTAACTACTTTTATTACTTTGGGAAAGTATTTAAACCTATGTTGTCCAATACAGTAGTCACCAGTCACATGAGAATATTTATTATACATTAAAATGAAGTAAAATTAAAAGTCAATTTCTCAGTTGCCTGTATAGATGTATCACATTATGCCACCATACAGAAAGTGCTCCTTAAGGCACATAGATAATGGCTACTATGCTAAACAGTACAGAATATCATTTCCATCACTGGAGAAAGCTCTATTTCACAGCACTGAATATCTTTCTGACCTTGATTTCTTCCTCTATAAAATAAGAATGTGGCTTCCTTGATTTCTCCTAGTCCAACATTCTAAGTCTTACATGATGACAACTTACACTGGCGTAGGTAAGCTTAGGTTGTGTTGTATTATAATCTCCATGGTGATTCTAGTAACACTTGGGAATATATTTGGAAGAATACTCTTATCACTATACTGCCAATGTTACCAATGATTGCTGCCTTTAGTTGCCTTCTCCTCCTCCTCTTCTTCCTTCTTCCTCCTCCTTCTTTCTTCCTTTTTCACTTTCAAGGTATATGCTGGGCTATTTATTCTGAACATTAAAGGTGAGCCAGTACATTCCGCAGGCAGCAGATGGCTGGTTTTGCAAAGGTATTATAATCTGCCACTCATAATGTGGTGGTAATCATCAAAACAGGGGGCATTATTTGTGGTAGCAAACAGCCATCAAACCTTAATGGCTTAAGACATCAGGTTTATTTTTCTCCCTTGTTAAATATCCACTGAGGCTGCTGTGGGCTCTGCTTGGCATCATCGTTATGCCTGTATTCAGGATCACAGAGCAGCTCCTCATATAGCAAAGAAAATAAAAACTGTAGTGATTCTCAGCCTAGCACTTAAAGCTTCTTCCTAAAATTGCCAGGTGTCTCTTACGGTAACATTTCTTTGTCCAGGGCGAATTAATAGCCACATATAACCTCAAGTACCTAGGGAAGAACAATGCTACAATGTCCCAGGAAAGCAAACAGGAAATGATGTGGATTACAAATGACCACCACAATATTAATTGGGTATTGCTCAAATACGAATTTGGTGTTTTAAAAGTCATGTCTTTAAAAGTCAGGAGCAGACATACTTAGAATCACATACATTAAAGCACACTAACATTCTCTAGAGCTACCCATGGGACCAACTAGGGAAGAACAAAACTTCAGGTGCAATAGCTGAGTGACACCAGCTGCACTGAACTGCAGACTTCAAGCCCATTTTCCTGAAAATTGTTGGTATGCAGAAATGCTTCACCAGGTCTGCCAGATCTCTTTCCTCTTTTCAAGAGAAGCTGGACTAGATAGAGAGTGTGAGAGAGAGAGGGAGATCTATGACAAAGCTAAGTATTTTAGATTGGTTTCAGTGGTTTTAGGAACTACCTAAGGGAACAGACAAAGTTGCTCTCCCATCTTCTTGCAACCTGATAACGTAAATTTTATGGAATTCACATCATAATTCCTTTCTCCATTTGGTTAGAAACTGGAAAAAGAGATCAGTAATCTGAGAGGAGATGTAGGTTTCACAGAAATATTGATACCCTAGACACAAATTTTAGTCAGAGCTGTGCTAGGACAATAAAGCGCCAGTTTATAGAAAAGTCGTGACCCTGTGCATTTTCTTGAAAGGTAGGGTAGTTAATACATTGGAAGCTTTGACTTTGGTATTAGACAGATTTGGGCTTAAATTGTGCTCTGCTAGTTACTAACTGTGCCACCTGATCTGATCACTGGAACTTCTTTGCCTCAGTTTCTTCTTCCATAAAATCGGAATAATAAATAATGATATTTACTTCATAGAACTTTTGGGAAGGTTACATTAGATAATACATATAAAGTGCCTAGTATTTTAAATTTCTGAGATACTTATTATGCTCTGACTTCTTCTCTAGCTCTACCCTCCCACACGTGATACTTCTAGAACAAAAACATGTAATTCCACAGCTTTTACTGAAAAGGTGCTCAATGTGCAGCAAAAGAGGTTGCTGAATTTATCACTTCTTATTTTTTTTTCTGATCAGATCTTAAGTATATGTAGCTTTGTGCTTCTTAAATCAGGAACCCAGGAAAAGATGACTTTAGGGGGATTTTTGTCTTGGACTTGTTTTGTATGAATGTGTTAGTTTTAAAATTACATTGATACTAATCAGATGGAATTTTTATTTTGTTGCAAGTCTGGTGAGAACCAGAAACAGCTGCTTAGAGTTTTCAGTATCATTGATGTGAATCCAATTGGCATAAATAACTAAGGCCAGAAAAATTTTTCTTCAAACTCTGTCTTCGTAGAAAATTTGACACATGTTGGAAATAGCAAAAGCAAATATTTCTTGAAATTTATTGAGGTTGTATTTGTCTTGTGAAAAATTTGGAGACCTGTGGAGACCAATGCTAACTGAAATCATTTCAACTATTTAAGACTTTGAAAACCCTCTGAAATTTAAGCTACTGTGTCATCATTTTATTGGGTGTTTATGTTATCAATTTTAGGGATCGGAGTTGATCATTGTGTAATTGAGTATCCAGAAAATAATTAAATATGTCATAACTATGATCCCAGGCAAAGTTTATTTTCACTGGAAAAGATTCATTGTATATGTTGGATTATACTTCAGTAAAATTCTGCAAATGTCTGTTACATACACTGTATGATTCTGGAAACTACTTGCTTTGAAGATGACTTTGAGTTCCTGTATTTTTTTTTCAATCATGAGTTCTCTACTCATCTGTTAAAACATTTGGCTTTTATTATATTCATTTTGTCTGTGGAGAAAACCTACTTTGTTTTTCAAAGGCAAAATTGTGCTTTTTTTTTTTTTACTGCTTCAAGTATATCCTGTCATAAATGCTAAGTATTAAATTCAAAAGGAACATACACTTTTAGAATCAAGTAGAGTTTTAGTTGTACTCTGTTGGAACTGTTGTACCAAGACAAAATTTATTTGCATAAAAGTCTTTTATGCAAGGACAATATGTTCTCAAAGTGTCTTACTGTGTTTTCCCCCAATTTTAAAATTATACTTGTTCATTTTAAATGTGTAGATGTATGTGACATTACCTTACCCTGTAGAAATAACACTATTAATTTTTTGAAACATTGCCTTTTTTATCTTTTGCCATGCACATAGCAGCATAAAAGTTATGGTCCCAAATTAATACAAATTACTTATAACACAACTTTAAATGGGGCATTTTTTATGTGGCCAAATTTTATTCTAGTTTTTCAAATATCTAGATTTCTAGTTACAAAAGACAATTTCTGGAAGACACTTTAGTCCCTGCTTGACTGTTCAGGGATAAAAATTGATACACTTTATTTGCCTTTTACTTGTATTTTCTCACTTGAACTGACTAGTTGTGGCTTACTAGGGGTTGAGCAGAGAGAAGAGAAGACACTGAATGTCACGTAAGTCGGTTTGCTGCTGTTTAGAGGCCAGAAACTGGGGGGATGGAGGACAGATATTAGACAGCAGTTGAACAGTTTAATATAAAAGTAGGAGACAGCATTAAAAAAAGAAATGTCTGTAATGTATCTGCATTTTTTCTAAATTGGACAATCACTTTAAATTCCTAATATACCAATAAAATATGAACCATATTTTAATTGAAAGCAATACAGTTAACTATGTTAAAAACGTAGTCTTGAATCCAAATTTGTTCAATATTTATATTATAGCTTTCCTGGAAAAAGTTGTACTTAGGGAGGTTTGATTTTTCTTCACCAGGGTGCTTATTTCTTGTTCACAATTTTCTAGATTCTGTTCCCATATTCCTTGTATATCAGTGTATTTTTAAAGTATTCCAGTGCATATCACCTTACCTGGATTTCTACCATTATCTAAAAGGAACTTTACCTTCCTTTTGGAATCAAACAGGTGGCTCTGTATTTATAGCATCATAAGAAGGAGATTATTACCTTTGTCTGTTGCTTAGAAATCCGTGGAGTCCAACATGACACAAAGAAAATAAAACCTAGAGAGGATGGCATAACACTGGACAAGAATTCACTGAACTTATTGAGGGAATAAGACAGCATCATCCTGTTGTCCCTAGTGTGTGAATACACTATTCACACTTTCATGCTTTTCTGTGTTGGGTAGAGTAGCCTTTTCAGTTTGCTACCCTGAGTTGTTAAACTGTTGGCTTGGCATAAAGTAAGTACATGTAGGAAACTTCATTTGATTGCTTGACTAATATCAGGACCTTGTATTAGTAGAGTCACAAACAAGACCAATTCTTTCAATGTCTATGGTCAGTAGGAGGCTCAGAAATGAAGACTGCAATTAAATTTATAATATTCAAATCTCTTTCATCGTCTCGTGGTAGAAACATCTCTTTGCTGCCTGCTGGGCAATCTTCCCAGTTCCTCTGCTTGATTTTCAAATGGCTAAAGCTAGGAATGATTTTGCTTTGACAATCAGCTAATGAGCCCTTGAATCATCTTTCCAGCTGCCTTACACTCAGTGGAAGTGATCAAAATACCTAAAGAAGATTCACTTATCCAAAGGGTCTTAAGATTTCTACTTTATGTAGGTTACTTTGAAATGGATATGGCTGTTCCCTACTCTCTACTTCCATATAGCATCTCCAAATAGGTAGTAAACTCCCTTTAAGTTTCTATCTCTTATTTTACGCATCCCCCACAATTCAATGAATTCCTGCAAAATGAACACATGCATTTCTTAAGGAGTTCTTAGTTAAAGAAGAGATCTATAAATTAAGATGCATGGTGTTCATCTGGAAAAGCACAAGAAGCCATTCCTAAAGGAAAACTGGAGCAAAGATAGGAAGCCAGAAAGGTCTGCAGTACCTTCAAGTAACAAAACATAGACCATTTTGACCAATGGTAGAAGTTGTTCAGGGAAAAAAAGAAGACTGGAGGCTTTGGTTTACTGTATATTTGCACAGTTTCTGTTTTAACTTTATTATTTTGTAAAATTTTCCAGTATTGGCTTTTACATTTTACCATTACTACCAGAATATTAAAAAGATATATTACACAAAGGAAGCCCACATAAGCCTAGAGTCCATGTGGTCTAATGTTAGTATGGAGCCAAAGTAATAGCAGTTCAGTAAGCAAAACGAAATACATGTATTTCATTATATATATATATATATTCCCAAAGTATGGCAACATCTATTTAAAAAAACAACAGATTATTACATTAATGCTCAAAGCTACTACTTAAAATTTATACAGAATTTATTGCAGACACTCTTAGAGTAGGAAAAGAATTCCTTGTCGCCCTCACGTTGCCTCCTAAGCTGAGCCAATAGAGCTGCTGTCTCCGTCCCAAGCCCCTAACCTTTGCTTTTTATTATGTAGATCTTCTTAACCTCTGTGGATATTAAGGCTTCGTTTTTCCCCTGCATTTCTTGAATCTGTTCCAGCAAAAGTATCCTTACTCCGTAGCAGGGAAAAGGCAGAAAAAGCAATCACTTTTGTGTTCTCTCTTGCCACACAAACAATTGCTAATTAAGAATAACATGGTGTAATGGGAAAAAAAACACAATATTTGATATTGCAAACCAGAGCTCAAGCCAGAATTCTAATTCTGACTAGCTGGGTTAACTTGGGCAAATAAATTAATCACTAATAACTGGGCTTCTCATCTTTTAAATGGGGATGATAATTACATTAATTTCTTAATAAGGAGTGTGTATGTAAGTGTGTGTGTGCGTTTAACTGCAAGAGCTATATGAAAGTTATTAGTGATTCTAATGCAGGAAGAAAATTATGTTCTCATTTTCCTAGGAGATCCTATTCTCACATTTCCAGTGTTTTCTGTAGCACTCCTACTCAGCCCTGGAAGAATAAAAGAGGGCTCAGAACTGCCTGAACGTTTCCCTTTTCCAGCCCCTCTCTAACACTTTGCTCTTTGGTTCCCTTTTCTTGTCCAAGGCATGTCACCTAATTTAATGCCTATTTTTCTTCTTTGTAATACTGTCTTTATATCTTCTCTTGAGATGTCTTCACATCTTCTCTTGAGATGTCTTCACATTGTCTCTTTTACGTTAGGGACTATTTTATTTATAAGCATATTTTACCCCTGAAAACTTAACCTGATACTGTTGCTTTTCTTTCAGCATAATCTAACATAGTTTAAATCAAAGATTTGATAAAAGCAAAACCAATGCAAAACAAAACAAAAAAACCCAGAAAAATCTATGAGCTTCTCTTATAAAAAATACTACCAGAAGTGCTTGGAATATACAATTTACTGCTTTCCATCCATTGTATGGTGAAGGGCCATTTAGGCATGAAGAATTAGGTTTTAAAGTGACATGGTATACCCTCATGCCCTCTGACATCCATATTAACAAGGTCAAAAATCAAACTAGTGACCAGGCAATGCTTGTAACAGGGCTAAAAGTGATTTGGTCTCTGACTTTATGCATTAATTGTTATTAACTGTCTTAGTCATAGTTTTAGTTATTGATATTTCTCAAGGAAAAGATCCATTTTGAGTCAATAAAATGGCTAAATCCGTAACTTTGATGTCATTATTCTTTAGTAATTGATATTCTAATTTATGTACTACTTTAGTTAAGGAAATTAACTGATGAGTCGATTTGTTTTAGACAAATAATTGTAAAGCACAGATGTGTAGCAAGACTTTTGAATTAAAAAGAATATTACTTCACTTCAACTCCTTTTGAGACTTGGCATTTTATTAACATTGTAGATGCAAAATCCTATTACATGAGATTACCAAGATATAAGCCACATTAAGTGAATGGTAGCTGCTGACTAGTTCTTGAGGACCTATGCATTAGGCACATGGAGAATAGCAAAGCAGAGTCATTCACAGAGCCTCTTTTCTTCTCGTAATTTGTGGAATGGCTTTTTTTAGGCTGTCTGCACATGGGATGTGATTGGCAGGGCAAGAGGACAGGGAGCTGCATGAAGCTCTTATCTGCCTGCTAAGACAGTTCTCAGCTTGATGGGAATTCTCTTCTGAAAATATGCCTGCCTTCTATCCACGTAATGAGAATGCTGTGGCTTTCAGGACTGGCTGTCAAGGGTGTTGGTGGGGAACTCCCAGACATTCATAACACTTTTTATTCATTAACCTACTGCAAAGTGGTCACTACACTGAATGTGTATTTCAGTTGGGATGTTCCTGGTATAGTTCTGGAAATAGTCTTTATACTACCTTACTATTTCATTCCTTCCCCAAATCATTGACTTTGGAGTCAGTATGACTTGTTTTCTAGATCAACCTCTTAATAGTTGTGTGCCCTAGGAGATACTGCTCAAATTCTCTGAGCCCAGTTTACTTATTTTTTAAAATAGCACTCTTACCTACTTGGTGTTACTCTATTAGTCTGTTCTCTGCTATGAAGATACTACCTGAGACTGGGGAGCTTATAAAGAAGGGAGGTTTCATTGACTTTGTTCTGCATGGCTGGGGAGGCCTCAGGAAACTTACAGTCATGGGGGAAGGAGAAGAAGGCATGTCTTACATGGCAGCAGGCAAGAGAGAGCATGTGAAGGAGGAGCTGTCAAACACTTATAAAACTATCAGATCTCTTAAGAACTCACTATCATGAGTGATATCATTATGGGGGGGGAACTGCCCCATAATCCAATTGCCTCTCTTTGGGTCCCTCCCTCTGGGGATTATGGGGATTGCAATTCAAGATGAGATTTAAGTGGGGAGACAGCCAAACCATCTCTCTCTCTCTCTGTGTGTATGTGTGTGTGTGTGTGTGTGTGTATTTATGTATGTTAAATAAGATAACAAGTCTAAGTTAGAGCCTGACATGCAGGAGGTTTCAATATATGCAGTCCTTTTCCACTTCTAATGAATCTCATCTTTAGTGAGTGGTTTGATTTGACCCGCAAAACTGTTTATAACTCATTTGCTTTAAGCAAAGAGTGTATTTTCTAGGATACAGCATCATAAATAACAGGATATCTGAATCAACGATTACTTATACAAGATTAGAAAGGGACAGGCTCAGAGCTGAGAGGAAATAGATTAATTTCAGCTTCAATTTCTCTAACTGTATTGGTGTGACATAGTATAAATGGGCTACCAAAGCTAAAAATTAAGTATTTGTGTTGAGAGACAGATTTTAAATTGCATCTTTCTCTGTCTCATTAGGTGTCATCTCCTTCTGCACACCCTACCAAAGTCAGTTTTGGTTGTAGATGTTTGGCTGACTTTGTTTTTTGGGGACTGAGTTTCTCTCTTTAATGAGGAGCATTTCTTCCAAGTTTTAAGAATCTGAAGTGAGATATAGAGAGCTAAAATATCTCAAAGAAGGGTGATGAAAATGAAGAATAAGTAGATCTATAAAGACATGCTAAAGAAATTCCAGTTATTGAATCCCAAGAGTTTGAGGGTGATAGGGAGATGTAATAAGCTTACAACAGATGATACACATGTGCCAGTATGTGTGTACGTGTTTATGATTCCACTTCAAGGGAAAGAGAAAGAGGCTTCATTTCAATACTAACAATAGGTTGGATGATGCAACTTTAAGATGTATTCTTGTCTGTAATGGTTGGCAGATACTGGAATTCAGCTAATAAATGAGAGATTTTCTGTGAAAATTATTTTTCAAAAGAATTATGTTCCCCTGTCCCATCACCACCAGCACTTCAAAGGCATGCAGTGAGGCCAGTAGCCCTAGGCCTGCCAGTGTGCCACCCTTGCCTCCGCCACAACCACCTGTGTAAGCAAGCAGGAATGCAGCAGCTATATTCCATTGGTACCCAACCCCAGCTGACATGTGTACCCCGCTGTGCTGCCACTACTTACACACCAAAGAGCATGAATCCTGACCCCAACAAAGTGCCTTGCTTTGGCACCACTCATCGGAGTGCCAGGGCCAGCGGTCTGGGAACACCTCGCTGCCTGCTTCCCTTTCCAGCAGGAAAGGGAAGGCTGCCCCAATGCAGCAGGTTAATCTTGAGGTGC